>NC_000023.11:21531427-21834457 GCF_000001405.40 Homo sapiens | reverse complement strand
TATGTATATTCAAAAGTAAATATTAAAGTATTTTCAATTCATCCAAGTGGCATACCTTATTCATATTACAGACATTGTTTCACTAATTAAATATGATAGTACCTACTCAATCATATGATAACTGGTTGTGCAACTTTTCAGGGATGCCAGAAATGATGTCAAAGTAGGCATCTGGCTAATTGGATTTCTAAAGGCAAGGCTGAGGGGGAAACTAAACCCCAGATCCCAAGGCCAGGTCTTTTAGACCATGCTGAGCTAAATAATAGAGATGCACCAAAGTTTAGAGTTAAATAATAGAGATGCACTAAACTTTGGTGCATCTCTATTATTTAACTCAGCATGGTCTAAAATTGGTCAATACCCTTAGCATTCTCTTGAATAATATCAGGACCTTTGGAAGCTTTAATGATCATTACCCCACTCCTGACTTTCGTGTCATTTTTTTCTGGTATTTTGGTTCTCTGTTGATGTTATTTAAGCACATAAAAAGATATTTTTGTTGTTTGTTAGAGGCAGTATTTCTTTAGATAACTGGATGCTTCTTTTTTTTTTTTTTTTTTTCCTCACCATTGCCTGGTAACATTTCAGGCCTTTCTTTTGGGACAATTTGTCTTTTTCCGGAAGTATATCTTTAAGAAATTTCTTTGGAGAGTCTCAGTTTGTGGAAAACACTTGAGTTTTATCTGAAAAATATCTTGATTTCCCGCTTATTTTGAGATGATAGTTTCATAGAGTATGTACTTCTAGGCTGACAGTTGTTTTTCCTCAGCACTTTGAGAATGGTACTTATTTTTTGGCTTCCACTGTTACTGTTAAGTCCATCATCAATCCACCAGTCACTTCTTTTAGGCAATCTGTCCTCTTTCTGATGATCTAAATTTGACTTCGATGTGTCTAGGTGTGGATTTCTTTTTATTCTTTCTGATTGGAATTGTTGGTATTTGAGTCACAGTCCAGGCAGGAAAAAGAAACCATGCTAGGTATTTTAAAACATTTTTTTGTATTTTGTATACAATTTTTATGTGGAGGATTTTGTAAGGGAATTAGCTACACATATGTCAAAAGGTTGAAAGAGGAACAAAGGTGAGGTAGCCCAGAGATTAGAAAATACAGAAAGTAGCTATCACATCTCTAGGGCTCAAGGAATCAAAGAGAGTAAGTTACATTACCAGAATCTAGAAGGGAAGAGGAGGGACCACCATCTCCTCAATGGTTGGGCTACTGGGGCTGAATGGTTGGAGGAAGTGCTATTGCTGAGAGTTTAGAACCAGAAGGAAAAGACCAAAAAAGAGAGGGGAAGAACTACTGCTATTCCCCTTTCCTACCTTATGATTACTGACCAGTGCCTATTATTGGTGAAACCTTGGGGGAAGCCAGCCACTAACAGAGCCTGGAAAAGTGCTTTGAAGACATCCCATCCTAGCATTATTTTGCAGGAAATAGAAGGATGGATGTGGAGTTGAAAGCTAGGTAAATAACCAGTACAGTTTAGTTTCTGAATTTTAGGATTTGTTGTCTGCATCACGTATGGTAAATTCTCTGCCATTTTCTTTTTCTTTCTCAGAGACAGGGTCTCACATTGTCACCCAGGCGGGAGTGGTGCAATCATAGCTCATTGTAGCCTCAAACTCCTGGGTTCAAGCAATCCTCCTGCCTTGGCCTCCTGAATAGCTAGAAGTACAGGCACATGCCACCATGCCTGGCTAATTTTTAAAAAATTGATTAATTTTTTTTTTTTTTTTTAGAGACAGGGTCTTGCTATGTTGCCCGGGCTGGTCTCAAGTGATCCTCCTGCCTTGGCCTCCCAAAGTACTGGGATTACAGATGTGAGCCACCTTGCCCAGCTGTCATTCTCTTTGAATATTCTCTTGCTTGTTCTTTAATTTCATTTTGAAAGTCCAATTATATATAAAACCTTCTCTATTTTCTGTGCCTTTTGCCCTCTCTTTGGAATTTCCACGTCTTTCCCTTGCTGCATTCTGAGTAATTTCTTGAAATCTATCTTTCAGTTTCTTAATTCTCACTTCAACTGTGTCTGATCCGCTGTTTTAACCAGGCTATTGATTTCTTTTTTTTTTTTTTTGTTTGAGACAGAGTCTCACTCTGTCACCCAGGCTGGAGTGCAGTGGCGCAATCTTGGTTCACTGCAACCTCTGCCTCCCTGGTTCAAGCAATTCTCCTGTCTCAGCCTCCCGAGTAGTTGGGACTACAGGCTTGTGCCACCACGCCCGGCTAAATTTTTGTATTTTTAGTAGAGATGGTGTTTCGCCATGTTGGCCAGGCTGGTCTCAAATTCCTGACCTCAAGTGATCTGCCTGCCTCGGCCTCCCAAAGTGCTGGGATTACAGGCATGAGCCACCACGCCCAGCCACCAGGCTATTGATTTCTAATTTCAACTATTTTATTTTTTATTTCTAGAAATTATATTTGGTTTCATTTTACTTGATCTTAGCCAAAAAGTTGAGAAGCAATATTGTTTTCATTTCAGAAATGATTTGCTATTTTTAAAAACCCTTTTGTTCCTCAGTCGTATTTTCAATTCTACATATTAAACATCTTATTATATATTGTGTATCTGATAATTCCAGTGTCTATAGTATCTGCAGGTATGGTCCTTTGTTTCTGCTAACTGTCACTCATAGTGACTTATGTTTTTTTCTTTTCCATTGTGAACTTATGTTTATTGGACCTTCATGTGGTTGTGCAAGCACTTGGTGCCTGGGCTTAAAGTAAGTTCTTGCAGAGATGATGATTGTTTGCTTTTGCCAAATACTTAGGGGCCTCACTAACCTGAGGTCACTTAAAGTAAATCATTCATGCGGGCTTTCTTTTTAGGTCATAGTTTTAGGTTCAGGATCAGAAGCATGGTGTCCAGTTGTGATAGGCTGCTTCTGAAATGGCTCCTCATGATCCTTGCTTCTTGTTATTCATGCCTTATGTAATCCACGCTCTGTATGAGTGGGCTGGACCAAGTGATATGCTTCTAACAAATAGAATATGGCAAAAGTGATAGGCTATTACTTCTGTGATTTGGTTATAAAAGACTGTGAGTTCTGTCTTGCTTGCTTGCTCTCTCTCTCTCTCTCTGGCTTTCCTCGCTTGCTCTGATGAAGCGAGCTACTATGTCGTGAGCTGTTCTCTAGAGAGGCCCATGTGGCAAGGACCTGAAGGCAGCCTCTGGCCAACAGCCAGTGACGAACTGAGGCCCCCAGACCAATAGCCTGTGATAAACTGAGTCCTGCTCACAACCACATGAATGAACTCAGAGGCAGGTCCTTCCCCAGTTGAGCCTTGAGATGACTGCCACTGCAGCCAACACCTTGACTTCCACCTTGTGAGAGGCCCTGAGCCAGAAGACCCAGCTACGTTGTATGGATTCCTGACCCACAGAAATGGTGAGATCATAAATGTTATTTCAAGCCACTAAGTTTTGGGAGTAATTTGTTATTCAACAGTGGATAATTAATACACCAATTGACAGTGGCAATAATCCCACTCTATTCTGTATAAGTTTAGCCATATCCGCATCACTGTTTCCAGTTATGGCCATTATTCCTTAAGAGGAATACTGAGACAAACCAGAAGGTACCCAAAAGAAGTCTGTGGAGGTGGGGAGGGGTGGTAAAAGATCTGGGAAATATGTCATATGAAGAACAGGTGAATGAATTGGGTTTGTTCTGGTTCACCCTCTGAGGGTCCAGTTTCTAAGTCTCTGAGCTTTATCTTCTGTCCCCAAAGATGGCCTGTTACAGCAGCAGCTCTGGAACACCTATGATCAGCAGATGACGTCAGGGAAGCCACCAGCTTTAGAGCTCTCTTACCTCTCTGGATTTGTGTTTTTTTAATCTTGCTTTTTTTTTTTTTTTTTTACCTCTAAGGATTTCCCTTACTTTCTACTATAGCAACTACGCATTTGTGAAATATTTTAAATATGTTATTCTATATTTTGGGTATTTTTGTACTAGGAGGGTTTTTTCAGGGTGGCTAATAGGCTATATTGCTGGGAATGGAAGTCCCTATGAACTTGTTTTTTAAAAATTGTGGTAAAATTTACATAACATAAAAATTTGCATTTTAACCATTTTTAGGTGTACAATTCAGTGGCATGTATATATATTCACAACATTGTATAACAGTTACCATTATATATTTCCATAACTTTTTCATCTTCCCAAATGGAAATTTTTTACCCATTAAACAATAACTCCCCATTTTGCTCCCTTCTACCTGATAACTTCCTATGGACCTGTTTTAAAGGGAAAAGTCATTGCAGATCTTTGAGAATATATTTGCAGAACCCCAGATATTCTCAGGCCCTAAATGGAGAAAAAATGGTCAAAGACCATGCATTTTTATTTTTCGAGACAAGGTCTCTGGCATCTAGGTTAGAGTGCAATGGCATGGTTATAGCTCACTGCAGCCTTGACCTCCGAGGCTCAAGTGATCCTCCTGCCTCAGCCTCCCAAGTAGCTGGGACCACAGGTGCACACCGTGACAGGTGGCTAATTTTTAAACTTTTTGTAGAGATGGGGTCTCACTGTGTTGCACGGGCTGGTCTAAAACTCCTAGCCTCAAGTAATCCTCCCACCCTAGCCTCCAGAGTGCTGGGATTACAGACATGAGCCACTGTGCCTGGCCCAAAGATTATACATTTAACATTGTAGAATTATACCTGGAAAGTGCTGTTGATTACTGATGTGCTCTGGGCCCCAAAACCAGTGCCTTTTAAAGTTGAAAAGTGCTGCCAATATTCATATTTAAGAAATTGCAATATGTTTCTTCTACCATTCTCCAGATGCCATGCTGCTTCCTAATTCTACCTTTACAATTTTCAGCAAAAAACAAATTCATAAAAAAAACCCATCCTGCAGGAAATACCTGGTATAGGCTGGTAGATATTGCTAAGAAGAGTAAGACAAAAGCTTACTACTACATTTTAGGTGAGGGGTCGGTCAATTGTTTTTACTGGTACATAGTCACTAAAAAGAAATAACTACTCAGTGGTATCTTTTCTCTAGGAAAGTTCAATTAACTTTATAACTGAGGATATGTGAGAGAGCAAGATACATTACTGGCTGAGCATTCTTTCATTCTCTCCCCATAACTATCTAGTAAAGAGAATTTTGTCTTTGCTATTCTATTCTGTATCTTTTATGATGCAGAATTGGGAAAATGAGATGGACTTAGAAAGAGATGGACCTGAAAGGGGGTGGGTAAGAGGAAAAGATTCAGTAAAAAGCCAAGTCAAGCCTAGGATTAAAATTAAAAGAAAGGAGAGATGAGAGAAAAACTACTTGCTGGATGCCACAGTGAGTTTTGGGGTTGGTCAGTGAGGGGTACTCTAGCAGAATTGGGGAGGGGAAAAAAGCTGGCTTTAGGATGGGTGTTGTCAGTTATGATTTGGATGGCTTTTGATGTTCTTTGTTGTTTTCACTTTTTTCTTTTCATTTGAGATGTTGCTCATGTACAGTCAGGTGCACAATCTTAAGGGCTGAGCTTAATGAATTTTTATGTGTCTACACCTGTGTCACCACCACCCATCTCAAAATACAGAATATACCAGCACCTCACATGTCTTCTTCCTCATCCCCTTCCCAGTCAACCATCTGCCCCACAACCAAGAAATAATCACTTTTCTGGTTTCTAGCACCATAGATTAGTTTTTGTCTGTTTTTTAACCTCATAAAAATGGAATAATATGCTAGGCACGGTGGCTCATGCCTGTAATCCCAGCACTTTGGGAGGCCGAGGCAGGCAGATTACTTGAGGTCAGGAGTTCAAGACCAGCCTGGCCGACATGGTGAAACCCCATCTCTACTAAAAATACAAAAATTAGCCGGGCATGGTGGCGTGCACCTGTAGCCCCAGCTACTTGGGAGGCTGAGGCAGGAGAATCACTTGAACCCAGTAGGCGGAGTTTGTAGTGAGCTGAGATCGCACTACTGTACTCCAGCCTGGGCAACAGAGTGAGACTCCATCTAAAAAAAAAGAAAAAAGAAAAAAGGAATGATACAGTATGCACTCTTTTGTGTCTAATTTCTTAATTTTTTTTTTTTTTTTCTGAGACGGGGTCTCATTCTGTTGCCCAGGCTGGAGTGCAGTGGTGTGAACATGGCTCACTGCAGCCTCAACCTCCTAGGAACAAGTGATCCTCCAACCTCAGCCTCCTGAGTAGCTGGGACCACATGCATGTGCTACCACACCCAGCTAATTATTTTATTTTTTGTAGAGGTGGAGTCTCACCATGTTTCCCCGGGCTCGTCTTGAACTGGGCTCAAGCAATCCTCCCGCCTCAGCCTCCCAAAGTGCTGGGATTACAGGCATGAGCTGCTGCACCTGGCTTTAGTTTGATTTCTTTCACTCAGCATTACATCTATAAGATTGATCGATACTGTTTTACATAGCAAAATAAGTTTTTAAAACCACTGTGTAGTATTTCATAAATTATTCATCTGTTCTATAGTTGATGGATATTTGTTTGTTGTAGCATTTGGTTATTATGAATACAAGTGCTATGAACATTCTTGTCTATATGTGCTGGTGGATGGATATAAAGCACTCATTTATGTTTATTGTCTGTTCAGGTGTGGAATTACTGGGTCATAGAGTGGACATATCTGTATCTTTAGTATTTCCTGTCAGGTGGTTTTCTAAAGTGGACATATCAGTGTACACTCCCACCAGCAATGTGAGAGAGTTCCAGTTGTGCTTATCCTTACCTGGACTTGACATTTTCAGTCCCTTAATTTTAGTCACTGTTAATGTTTTTGCAGGGGCATAAGCAGAGATTAGAAATCCTTTTAAATTATTTTAGCTGTTAAATCCTGCTTTCACATAAAGGATTCTATACATAAAGTGGGTGCATGAAGCTTTGGAACTTATTTAGGAAATCTTGAGGATTTGGAAGTGTGCACATTTAGTTCAGCTGAGCTGGGATTTTTTTTGCACCCCACCTCCTTTTTTTTTTTTTTTTTTTTTTTTTTGAGATGGAGTTTCACTCTTGTTGCCCAGGCTAGAGTGCAATGGCACGATCTCGGCTCACTGCAACTTCCGCCTCCGGGGTTCAAGCAATTCTCCTGCCTCAGCCTCCCAAGTAGCTGGGATTACAGGCACGTGCCACCACGCCTAGCTAATTTTTGTATTTTTTGCGGAGACGGGGTTTTACCATGTTGGCCAGGCTGGTCTTGAACTCCTGACCTCAAGTGATCTGCTCGCCTTGGCCTCCCAAAGTGCTGGGATTATAGGCGTGAGCCACCATGCCCAGCCCCCACCTCCTTTTCTTAGAGGCAGGGCCTTGCTCTGTCACCCATCTGTCACCCAGGGTGAAGTGCAGTGGCATGATCATGGCTCACTGCAGCCTCAAACTCCTGGGCTCGAAGGATCCTCTCACCTCAGTCTCCTGAGTAGTGAAGACTACAGGCATATGCCACCATCATGCCTGACTAATTTTCAATTTTCAATTTTTTTACAGAGATGGGGTCTCACTATGTTGCCCAGGCTGGTCTTGAACTCCTGGCCTCAAGCGATCCTCCTGCTTCAGCTTCCTGAGTAGCTGGGATTACAAGTGTGTGACACAATGCCTGGCTCTCTCTGTGTTTTTGAAGGTGAAACTTTATTCTGTAAAGATACAAGACTGGCTCCTAAAAGAAAGATGATTCTTCAGAGACTGTCTAAAGTTGGAAAAGCTACCAGAAGACTAAGTGAATGCCTCTTATTGTTGGCTAGTTGTTAAATAACTGTGCATCAAAATCACCTGGAAGGTTTGTTAAGCCATGGCTTGCCAGCCCCACTCTCAGAATTTCTGATTCAGTGGGTCTGGAGTTGAGCTAAAGAATCTGCATTTCTAAAAACTTCCTGGGTAATGCCACTCCTGCTGGTCCCAGGACAGCACTGTGAAAGCCACTGAACTCACCTATTGCAATAGTCTCAGTGAGAGGCAATATTGAAGGAGGTGAGAAGTAGTTGGATTTGGGAGCTCTTTGGAGGGGTAGAGCCAATAAAACTTGTTTTTAAACATTGTGATCCTAGAATGTTCCTTAGGTAGGTTTATTTATTTCCTTCTTTCCTTCCTTCCTTCCTTCCTTCTTTCTTTCTTCTTTTTTTTTTTTTTTTCTGAGACAGGGTCTTGCTCTGTCATCCAGGCTGGAGTGCAGTGGTGTGATTTCAGCTCACTGCAGCCTCTGCCTCCTGGGCTCAAGTGATCCTCCCACCTCAGCCTTCCAAGTAGTTGGAACTACAGAAGTGAGCCACCACGCCTGGCTAGTTTTAAAAATTTTTTGTAGAGACGGAGTTTCGCCATGTTGCCCAGGCTGGCCTCAAATTCTTGGGCTCAAGCAATTCACCAGCCTCAGCCTCTCAAAGTGCTGAGATTACAAGCATGAACTACTGCACCTGGCCTCTGATGTAGATTTCTTACTTTGTGTGTGTGTGCGTGTGCGTGTGTGTGTGTTTAATTTTTAAAATGTAACTGGCAGTATAGTTTTGTTGTTAGACATAAAGGCTCTAGAGTTGGATGGCCTGGGTTCAAATTGCAACTCTACTGCATATTGGTTGTATAATCTTGCAAGTTACTTCATTTCTCATTTGTAAAAATGTGGATAATATTAGCAGGTGTTTCTTGTAAGGAATAAATGAGATACCTCCTGTAAAACACTTCTCATGATGCATGGAATATGGATTTTTAATTGGTTCAATTTGGAGCAAGAACATACCCCCTTGATATGGTAATGAGGATTGTCAAAACAAAATAACAGAAAAGAAAATTTTACATTTATTTTCTAATATTATCTGATAAGTAAAAGAATTTGCAGAAAGCTAATTTTATTTTATTTTTTATTTTTGAGGCAGAGTCTCACTCTGTTGTCCAGGCTGGAGTGCAGTGGCATGATCTTGGCTCACTGCAGCGTCCACCTCCCGTTCAAGTGATTCTCCTGCCTCAGCCTCCCAAGTAGCTGGGATTACAGGCATGTGCCACCAAGCCTGGCTAATTTTTGTATTTTTTTTTTTTTTTAGTAGAGACGGGGTTTCGCCATGTTTGCCAGGCTGGTCTTGAACTCCTGACCTCAGTTGATCCACCTGCCTTGGCCTCCCAAAGTGCTGCGATTACAGGCATGTGCCACCAAGCCTGGCTAATTTTTGTATTTTTTTTTTTTTTTTAGTAGAGACGGGGTTTCGCCATGTTTGCCAGGCTGGTCTTGAACTCCTGACCTCAGTTGATCCACCTGCCTTGGCCTCCCAAAGTGCTGTGATTACAGGCATGTGCCACCAAGCCTGGCTAATTTTTGTATTTTTTTTTTTTTTTAGTAGAGACGGGGTTTCGCCATGTTTGCCAGGCTGGTCTTGAACTCCTGACCTCAGTTGATCCACCTGCCTTGGCCTCCCAAAGTGCTGGGATTATAGGCGCTAGCCACTGTGTCCGGCCAAAGCTAATTTAAAAAATTTAATTTTTATTACTTTTATATAAAGCATAAATTGTGTCAACAGTTATTCTGATAGATCACTTGAAAAATGTAGCTTGCACCTTGTCTTACTCTTTTTGTGTTGCTATAACAGAATATCACAGACTGGGTAATTTACAAAGAACAGAAATTTACTTTCTTACAGTTCTAGAAGCTGGAAATCAAGATCAAGATGCCAGCATCTGGTGAGGATCTTCTTGTTATGTCCTCACATGATGGAAGATGGAAGGGCAAGAGAGCAAGAGGGGACCAAATTCACCCTTTTAAAATGGCATTAATCCCACCCATGAGGGTGGAGCCCTTTTGGCCTAATCACCTCCCCAAATTCCCACCTCTCAACACCGCCACAATGGCAACCAAATTTCGACATGAGTTTTGGAGGGGAAAAAACATTCAAACCATAGCATACCTTCTGTGTAAATTCTGTACAATATTTACAATGGGCATTTTATTCATTTGGATTTAATGGGTGATATATTTTGGCTATTTTTCCTCTCCAAATCTGATGTTGAAATTTGATTTTCAATGTTGGAAATGGGGCCTGGTGGGAGGTGTTTGGATCATAGGGGTGGATCCTTCATGAATGGCTTGGTGTTGTCTTATCAATAATGAGTAAGTTCTCACTTTATTAGTTCATGCAAGAGCTGATTGTTTAAAAGAGTGTGGGTACCCCTCCTGTCTCTCTGTTGCTTTCTCTCTTGCCATGTGACACATCTGCTCCCCCTTCACCTTCCACCATGAGTGGAAGCTTCCTGAGGTTTTTACTAGAAGCAGATGTCAATGCCATACTTCTTGTACAGCGTGCAACATTGTGAGCCCAATAAATCTCTTTTCCTTATAAATTACTCAGCCTCAGGCATTCCTTTATAGCAACACAAAATGGATAAGACAATGGGTTTTAGTAAGAATTGCAAACGAGACAGCGGCTGTATTTGGTACTTAAAATTTTTCATCTACTTGTTTAGTTATCAGTGACACAATTAAAAATTGCTGAATTATTATTCATTCAGCTAAAAAACTGCCAAAGTTCAAATGCTGTGATACTGGCTTACAGCATATTGACAGGCCAAAGCAAATGATAATAAAAGTTTTAAAATGTTTTCAGAGCTCAGCAAAATTTTGGCCAAAGAAATTTTCCATGCAGGAAACATGATGTAAACATCTATTTTTTTCTTACCCTTTCAGAAAATGAAATTGTCCACTATATAATAATACATAATTTCAACAAAATCTTCTGCATACAATTAGCTATAAAAGGAACTAACTACCAAAAGGCAATCACTTGTAGCAAAAGCATTTTATCTTTGTAGATGCCAAGAAAGGTTTCATTCTTTTGAAAAATAGTCTAAGATTATTTTCCAGCAAAATATGAACAGTCTCCTCGAATGATATAATGATCCAAGCTTATTATTTTCTCTCGCATTGAGTCTTAAGCACAGATGCACATTAGAATTACTAGATGCAAGCCTGGAATTCTAAGGCTGAAGTGTGGTCATATTTATGTTTACATACTTCCTAGACTTCAATAGGTCTTCTACTTTGGGCCACATGGCAGACTGAATAATCTGAAAACCCTTCTGCTACAGAACGCCGAGAAGTACTGGATAAAATAAGGGAAATATCCTTTTAAATGCATAGTTCGAATTGTAAGGGAAATTGTTTAGGGACAAAATGAGAGCTGGAGTTACAATTCCACATTAATAAGCAGGTGCTGATACCTTGTTTCCCTTGGCAGTGGAAGAGACTGCAGCAGGTCTTTGAATATCATTGTTTCATCCTTTTACTATAATAACATTGATGAGAGAAAAAAATGGATTCTGGGCTGGGTCACCATCTATGTGGAGTCTGCATGTCCTCTCCATGTCTGTATGGGGTTTCTCTGGGTGCTTCCCACATCCCAAAGCTGTGCACGTCAAGTTTATTGGTGTGTCTAAATGGTACCTGTCTGAGTGAGTGTGATGTGTGTGAGTGGCCCTGTGATGGAATGGCGTCCTGGCCAGGACTGGCTCCCACCTGGTGCACTAAGCTGCTGGGACACGCTCCAGCCACCTATGACCCTGAACTGGAATCATTGGGTAAATGATTATCTTATTTATTTTTATTAATCTTTCTTAAATGTATGTATAGCTCACACATATTCCAGTGTTTCATATTAGAAGTGCTTTGGTCTTTATTTAGAAGTTTGATGATGTTTTTGTGACCAGAAATATGCTGTAGGAACTTAACTGTATATCAATTAGCCTATGGTAAAATTGATTTCATTATACTACATTGTTTTTGCTTAGAGACATGGTTTTCAAGAACCTAAGGACCATGTTAAGTGAGGACTTACTGTACCCTGATTTTTGTAAACAAGGAGCTTGGGTTTTAATAGCTTTGAGGGTCAGGAGACAAGGTTGTAGAAAGACAAGATGGGGAATTGGAACTAAGAATCTGGTTTAGAGTTGGGAGTCTGGAAGGGCTACAGCTGAGTAGAAAGAAAAGTCATCGATCAGCTGAGGTAGAAAATGAAGAAATTTGTCTGCCTTTGCCTGAGCTTTGAATGAAAAAAACATATCCCTATGAGAATTAATAATAACTGCCTTTTCTCATGTGGGTCATAATCTGAATTTATATTACCTGTGTGGTCTGGCAGTCCTGAGATATTAGTATAAAAAATGGTTGAGATACTCCTGGTTGAGATATTAATATAAAAAATGGTCCGAGGCTGGGACATTTTTAGAGCTCCTGGCAAAAGCAAATGCAGGACTTCTCTTGAGGGATACACTCAAGCCAGATGAAACTAAGGTTGCGTGGGGACATGCGAGTGATGTTAAGCAGAGCCCAGAGGCTCTTGGGTGACAGGTGAATGAAAACAGGTTAGACTGCCTGGCCTCAGGCAATCACGCCTGCCCATACAAACCCACCAAGCTGATGGAATGCCACCTATGAGGACCTCCTTCTCCAAGTGCTACTGTCTCTGAGGGTTCAAAGGTATGTTCCTGATTTGGGTATTTGTTTGATGGGATGAGAACAAACAGGACTGATTAACCCTGGTTTCTGTGGTGCTCAGACCTAGGACTCCTTTTTACTCTCCTTGAACTTTGGAGTTGACCCAGATTCAGGGGCTGGCCTGGCCTTCAGCCATTACCTGTAGATATTATGAGGCAAAGAAGCCGGTACCTCCATGGGAATGTGAGTTCATAGGCCCAAATAACCAGGCATCTGAAGAGGACAGATGCCTCAAAAGAAAAAGAAGAAACTGGAAACCATGTACCAACTGTGGTAGAAATACTAACAAATAAACCAGGAATTTTAAATAAATATGAGAGAACTTCTTCTTCTGGTTAGGATGTAAAAAAATGCAGGAGGCTATTATTCTCACCCCACCAGGTGATTCTGAAGCAACCCCTGCCCCCTTGAAAACTGCTACTCCGTTGCAATAACCTGGATAGCAATAAATGCATATGGATAAATGTACACAGGCTAAGTTTGACAAGAATGGTGGTCTACGGTGATATTATTTACATGCTTGTGCTTACATTTTATTTAGTGTGTATAATTTTATCTTGAAACTGCTTAGACAATTAAGGATTAGTTGGGGGAGATATAAAGGTGAATACAACACTGACACAATGATTTATTACCTTGTGGTTCATTGGAAGACCATGGTTGTTCAAATAGTTGTGAAATTTTCCTTAATCCTTTGTCTTAGAGGTATAACTCCAAAATAAAATTGGTGTGCCAGCAGTGTAATGATATAATCAACTTTATAAGAAGAGCCAGCCAAATTTTAATTTAGCACTACTTTACTTGCTGATTTGTTTACAAATTGCATTGCCTATCCAGCCCTTCTGTATTGAAACATTCCACATGCAAAGACCCCACGGCCTTGATGCAGGCAATTGCCTACAGAGGCCTCTTGGAAACCCTAGTGTCAGTCAGAAACAAAGATTGGCCAGCAGCAAAGCCCTAGAAAAAAGCAGAGTGAGCTAAGTAGTGGGTAGTGCCTTTCTACACACTGTGCTGGGGAGAGGGTCCCCTTGAATCTTGATAAATATCCAAAATATCTTGACTCTTCAAACCCCGCAATTGTCAGGCTAATAAACCTGACTCCATTTTAACATTCAAGTCCTCTTTCTTTGCTCTAACTCCATAAATCTCAAACTATCTTGGGATGGTTATCCCCTATAGCATGTCTAAAGGAAAAAAAATGTACTGGTTAAACAGATAAGCATAAAATGTCTGCATGATAGTTATATTTTGCAATAAAAAATTAATCATGAAGCATATTGGGGTGTTTTAGTCCCTTGTGGGTTAGTGTGAATCAGGCTCTCTGAGATAAAGCTCATAGATTTTGGCAACTGAGAGCCAGACTTAGAGCAGGATAAATGTATTAAGGTAAACTCTATTAGGGTAGTAGCATCCTGCTAGCCCTGCTTGGCTGTGTGCCTTCCTTCCCACATCTACAGTGCATATGGGAAATGTTCTGTATTAGTTCATTCTCACATTGCTATAAAGAAATAGCTGAGACCAGGTAATTTATAAAGAAAAGATGTTGACTTGGAACCAACCCAAATACCCATCAGTGATAGACAGGATAAAGAAAATGTAGCACATATACACCATGGAATACTATGCAGCCATAAAAAAGGAATGAGTTCTTTTCCTTTGCAGGGACATGGATGAAGCTGGAAACCATCATTCTCAGCAAACTAACAGAGGAACAGAAAACCAAACACTGCATGTTCTCACTCATAAGTGAGAGTTGAACAATGAGAACACATGGACACAAGGAGGGGAACATCACACACCAGGGCCTGTTGCGGGGTGGGGAGCAAGGGGAGGGAGCATTAGGACAAATACCTAATGTATGCAGGGCTTAAAACCTAGATGATGGGTTGATAGCTGTAGCAAACCACCATGGCACATGTATACCTCTGTAACAAACCTGCATGTTCTGCACATGTATTCCAGAACTTAAAGTAAAATAAATAAATAAATAAATAAAATAATAAAAATAAATAAAATATGTTTAATTGGCTCATGGCTCTGCAGGCTATACAGGAAGCATAATGGCTTCTGCTTCTAGGAAGGCCTCAAGAAGCTTCCAATCATGGTGGAAGGCAAAGTGGGAGCCAGTTCCTTACATGGCAGGAGCAGGAGCAGGACCAAGAGAGAGTGACAGGGGAGGTTCCACATACTTTTAAACGACCAGATCTCATGAGAAGTCACTATTGTGAGGACAGTACCAAGGAGGGTGGTGCTAAACCATTCATGAGAAGCCCACCCCTGTGACCCAGTCACCTCCCATCAGGCCCCACTTCCAATATTGGGGATCACAATTGAACCTGAGATTTGTGTGGGGACACAGATCCAAGCCATATCATAGTCTAATCCTCACTGATGTAGAATTTAAAACCCAAAGAAGCACAATGAGGAAGCTTTTGCTTGTAGTGTGGTTTCCAAACCTAGCGCTCTATCAAAACTGCCCTTAAAAGTCAGTAGCAGCCAGGTGTGGTGGCATGCGCATTTAGTCCCAGCTAGTCCAGATGCTGAGTCAGGAAGATTGCTTGAGCCCAGGAGTTCAAGGCCAGCCTGGGCAATATAGTGAGACTCTGTCTTAAAAAAAAAAACAAAAAGCCAGTAACAACCTCCTAGTGACCCAATGCAGTGTCTTCTCAGTCTCCATCCTACTCTGTCTTTGGTATGTGAAACTGTGGATCATCTCAGTTCAATAGGGGTCCTATCTGAGGCGGTCCAGACCAGAAAGACAGAAGGGTGAAGCTGAGCCGAAAATCAGGAAACTAAGCACAAAACCCAAATATTTATCAGACAACTACTGGGTGTTACACATTTTCTCTTAGGCACCTGGGATATATCTGAATAAAACAAAGACCCCTGCCAACATGAGTGAATATAAATGTCTCCAGGAACATTAATACAGTAAAGGATCGTGTTCTCCTTTACATTCCTCTAGGCTTTATCCTCACTTTTATTATGGTATATTACAATACTTACAACATATTATTGTAATTATTTATTTACATGTCTGTCTCTGTTTTCTGAACTGTGGGCTTTTGGATGGCAGGGGTGCCATATCTTAGTATTCTAACACATGGCAGGCATTCAATAAATGTCAGTAGAATGAATACATGAATGAATAAATGAAGCTGGACTGCTAAAGGAGTTGTTGAGCTCTAATGGCTTCGAGAGACTGTGCTTATCTTGGTCTTAGAGGAAAATAGATTTTATATTAAAAAGAAAAAATCCACAAAAATGAACACCGCACTAAAGGAATACTAAACAGGAATCAGTGCTTCTTTCCATCCCCTACCACTGACACCCTAGGCAAGGCCATCATTATCTCTCTCTGGATTAACAAAGCCTTCTCCCAATTGGTCGCTGCAACTCCTCCAACAGGTCTTCTCTTCCTCCGTCTCTATAATGGAGCCAGGGAGCATTTTAAAATACAACTATGGCCGTGTCACCCTCTCTTGAAAATTTTGCCATGGTTTTATACTTTAGTCAGTTTCTGTTATATAACATCCCCAAATCTCAGTGGTTTACATAAATACTCATTTCCGTGTTTTCAGGCATGAAGGTTGGTGGCCGTTTGGCTCACTAAGGCTAGGTTCAGTTAGACTGGACTTCAGGCAGAAGGGGCAGCAGTTAATCTAAAGCATATGCTGGGTATAGAAGATTGCAGGGGTATGAAAAGGCAAGCCAAATGGTGCAAGCTCATTCATAGCTTCTGCCAGCCTTCTCTGAATGTTAACATTCCATTGGCCAAAGTGAGTCTGTATTAGGCCATTATTGCATTGCTATAGAGAAATACCTGAGACTGGGTAATTTATAAAGAAAAGAAGTTTAATTGGCTCACACTTCTGCAGGCTGGAAAGGAAGCATAGCACCAGCATCTGCTTCTGGGGAGGCCTCAGGAAGCTTACAATCATGGTGGAAGTTGAATGGGGAGCCGGCACATTATATGGCAAAAGCAGGAGGAAGAGAAGGGAGGGAGGTGCCACACTTTTAAACAACCAAATCTCATGAGAACTCACTATCTCCAGAACAGCACCAGGACATGAGGGATCCTCCCCCATGATCCAAACACCTCCTATCAGGCCCCACCTCTAACACTGGGGATTACAGTTCAACATGAGATATGGGCGGGGACAAATATCCAAACAATATCAGAGTCACATTGTTAACCCAAAGTCAAGGGGCAGAGAAATACACAGACCACCATGAAGCCATGGCAAGGGCAAAGAATGGCAGCTCTGTAACATAAAGGGAGTGAAGAATTGGGCAAAATAATCCAATCGACTCCACTTTTCCTTGATCTTAGAGCCAAGTCCAAAACCCTTCACAATCTTTTTTTTTTCTTGTTTTTCCATTTTCTTTTGCAACTTCTTCCCTTCACTATATTCTCTTAACTCTGTTCTTGTCATCTTTCAGTTCCCATGATGGAGCATGCCGTTTCTCACTTTCAAGGCTTTATACATGCTATTGCTTTGTCCTGACCCATTCTTTTCTCATCTTTCCCACCCCTCTGTTCCCACTCCCACTCACCCTGGGGTGTCTACCTCTCCTGGTCAGCAGTATGAATATTATCTCTAGTAGGAATGAATTAGTTGTTCCTTGTCTGCATTGCCAAAGCTCTAGCACTTGATTTTATAATATCAGAGCCTTTATCACAAGCATTGTTTTTTCTTATTTCATTGACTGTTTCTCCTGCTAGATTAAGACTATCCTGAGGTTGGGACTGTGACTCTATTTTACCCTCCTGTTCCCAGCACCTAATATAGTGTCTGGCATATAAGAAGTACTCGTTTTGTTTTTATTTAATGAATGTATACACGAGTGAGAACAAACAACCGAGAATACAGTTTGGTTTCAGGATCTGCTTAAAGGAATTTATTTTGAGAAGTCTAATGTATTGACATATCCTTGAGACTTATGGGAATGAAATATGTGCACAGCCTTTGCATTTTTCAAAGTCCTTTCTGCTCTCTGCTGTTTATTACACAAAATCTCCCCTTTGTTAGAATTTTGTCATGCACACACTACATTGCAGGACAGCCTACAGGTGACCCTAGCAGCTTGAAGAGAGACTGTGTCCTGTGGCTATAATAAAAAAGACAGAACTGGGCTGATAATGTTTGCAACAATTCAAAGGATGCAGCCTGAATAATGATCAGCTCTTATGGCTGATTCAATGCCAAGGGACAAAGGCATCTCCTCCAGGACAGAGTGGTAGGATCTGCCCTTGTAAGATACAGTGTTCCAAGTTATTTGTTTATAACCAGAAGAGTAATTCTTAATCGATGCATTTCTGAGTAAAGAGATCCATATGTTACATGCTAATTTTTGTTTTTAGTGTGTGTCAATTTATGCGATACTGGCTTAAGGGCTGGGAGACTGGATCAGTCACACCTGATTAGCTGCTCTGCATGAAAATATGAACAATAACGTTTTGTCTCTGAAATTTGACGAAGAAAATCTCATTAAAGGCAGAAGCCATTTCTGGTCCCCAGTAAAGGGCGGACAAGAAGGCCGATTAAGGATTTGAAAGTGATTGGCTGGCGGGTGGTGTGGGGTGGGAGGGCGAGGGGATGTAGGGGGAATGAAAAGTAATGGAAGAGACCCAAATCTTCCAAGGTCCCAGCATATGGACTTGTTTACTTCAAGAGGTAATTGCCAGCTGAGGCCAGTGTTCTTGCAGCTCATTTTGAATTTTGATGATAGAGAAATTATTCCTTTTTTTGATGATGAGAAATCTGATCCAAGTTACATAGGCTTAGAAATGTCTATGCTAGTAATTTGCTAGATTTAAGGATATAGGATTTCACAATTAGATTCTCAATTAAGAAAAAGCCATCTTGCTTTATTTAGAAAATTAGTCTTTTATTAGTCAAAATGGATTTGCTTCTGAGGCCTAAACTATTTGGACTCATTTCAGGCAAATGTTTTCTAGGAGCTGGGTTCTTATATTGAAAGAGAAACATAGCCAACATAATAATATATTTAATTAACTGCACGAATGCTCTAGAAAATCCCATCCTGGCCAAACATTAGAACAGAAATCACGATTGAAGGTGCCAAATGGTTTTCATTTCCCCTAAAGGCCCAAATCATCGTAGGTTACAGTATATAGGTCTTGTACATTTATTTTTTATTTCCTGAATTTCTTCTTGTGTAAAGCCTGATCCTTTAAAAATTTGTCCTGACTTTCCTGGCTAACTTAAGGGCATGATTGTCAACAGAAAATAGATTGTTTCTCAAATGATATCAGTAATCCCATTGGGAAGAGAGAGAGAGAGAGAGAGAGAGAGAGGGTCTGTGTGTCTGTGTGTCTGTCTGTTGGGGTATAATGGCAGAGGGTTATGAAGAGGCTTCAGGAACTATATTTTGTTGTTGTTGTTGTTGTTTGAGACGGAGTCTTGCTCTTTTGCCTAGGCTGAAGTGCAGTGGTGTGATCTTGGCTCACTGCAAACCCCGTCTCCTGGGTTCAAGTGATTCTCCTGCCTCAGCCTCTGAGTAGCTGGGATTACAGGCGTGCGCCACCATGCCCGGCTAACTTTTTTGTATTTTTAGTAGAGACGGGGTTTCATCATGTTGGCCAGGCTGGTCTCGAACTCCTGACCTCAAGTGATTCACTCGCCTCGGCCTCAGGGAACCACATTTTAAACACTCAAGCAGGGATATTGGGAACTCTAGTTAGCATGATTAGCCTCTTTCAAAATGTATAATATCTTCCATCCTTTGTGTTGTGACCCTTTATCTCCCAATTATTTCAAAAGTTGCCCTGAAACTCTCAGCACAGCTGCTTGAACTTAAAAATGGCCTTGGGGACTTCCCCTCTGCCCATTTTCTCACCCACTTTGAGAGTGAACCTCCTAAAGTCCAGGTGGGAATTGTTCAATATCCAGAGGGAGGAGCCCCAGCAGGGCAGGGCCCCGGTGAGGAGTGGTGAGGGAGAGTGAGATGAAGGTGGAGGGAGGGGTGGTAGCAGGATCTGGAGTACTAGAGGACAATGAACTGGAAGGTGAAGAAGTGGTTTCCCAACACACTCATTTCCAAAGTTCTGGGGAGAAGCCATGGAAGGAGAATTTTCATGGATGCATGATCTGCTGACCATGCTGTTCTGACTTGGTCCCCCTAAATATTCCCTTCTTCTTGGGGTTCTCTCACTGGTGATGCTGTCACCACCGTCAGCATGGTTAGAGCTCTTGTGAGTGAACCTAATCCTGTGTGGCTGCTTGCTAATTGCCAGGTTCTTTGGTTAATACAGGGAAATACTATCAGAGATAGGTGAATGTTCTGTATGTCCTACCCCACAACCAGGTGGGATTTAACTGTAAAAGTAAGCCATAGACCAAATTCTGCTAAACATGCAAATACTTAGAGTGAACAGTCACAAAACAGCAACCTGTTTGTGTGAGCTCAGTAACCTTACTCTCAGTTCTTTAGGCATTCCGACAAGCACCAAAGGTTTATTTAATCCAAGGCAGACTCCACAATATTTTGAAGACAGGTAAGCAAGGCTTTTTAGTCTGATCAGGCCCCACTGTCCTTTATGAAAGGAATGGAACACAAGATCAAATACAATGCTGGGCCTAGAGGTTGGTAGGCTGCTGAGTGTGCTGGATTCTTCTTTTTCATTTATGCCACAGCTATGAGTCCCATGCAATCTTTCTGGCCCATAATATACCTGGAACACCACTCATTCTATCAGTGAGACATTGTTTCTAACACCCCTTAAATTAATGTAAAAACCCCAGGGCAGATTCAGATGGCCATGTTTGCACAGCCACCCTGGAATGTTAACTAGCTGCTAGAGCCCTTCAATGTTAACTAGCTGCCCCTGGGGTGTAGGTGAAAGTACATTTCACTCACAGATTTAGCAGTTCCTGTGCTCTTCTCCCCACACCAGTCCCCACAAACAATATTATAAACATCATTCATGGAAATAAAATAACTTAACTAAATCCTTGCCACTCAGGATAAAGCAGTGTGCAGGTTATGAAGCCATTGTTTCTCAATTCCACACTTTTCTTTGTGATGCTGGGGATGGGACTCTGCATAGGACATTTTCTGCTTTGCCAGATGTCCCTGTTAGGCTTTGTCTGGAGGGACACTAGAGAGAGACTGCAAAGCTGGACAAAGGAGAAAGGATGCTCCTTCCTGTCTGCTTCCTGTGTCTTTCAGCATCAGCCCATCAATTGCACTTTGCTTTGTCAGCAGCAGTTGATCCCAGCAAATTGGCTCCACTTTCCAGGTGTTTTTTAGCACTCCTGGAGCCAGCCTCTGATGCTACCCTCAGAGGCTTGTGTCCCAGTTACATAAGACCCTCTTCTTAGCTTCTGAGGCACCAGCCTCTGCCAGGCAGCTCCCCCTCCTCAGAGGTCTGGGTCCCAGCTCCATAGAGCCCCTCATTTGAGCTTCTCATAGAGCTGGCAGCAAGAGAACCACCCAGCTCTAACTTCTCCCCTTTATTTCCCCAGCCCCAGGGTTGGTAGCTGATTCCTGCAGTTTATTGTCTTTGTGTTACTTCAGTGTTCTGTTTTTGCTTTTTCAGCCCTTCAACAGCTGCTTTACTAAATTCCTATATTCACTTTTCTCTGTTAAAACTACTGGTTTGGTTTCTGTTTTCTAGACTGTATCCTGAAGGATACTGTCAGAGTCTAAAAATAAGAATGGAAGCAGAAAAACATTTCAGGAGTTTTATCAACAAATTCTCAACCCAAAAGGTTGGTGTACAAGGAAAGGACTGGGAGGATAGGACTGTCTTTGGATAGCTCAAGATCCACAATGTCAGTATGGCAAGACTGTTTCAGGTGTGAAAGGAAAATACAGTCTCAGGACCCCAAATTCACTATACAAAAGGGAATAGTTAAGCTTGGAAGCTGAGTCACAGAAAAAAAAATACTCTCTTTATTTTTGTTCTTAAACAGATGGCTGCAATATAGAAGGCCACATATCTCCCCAGGTAGACTCCTTCATGCTGAAAATGTACATTAACAGCTTATCCTCACAGGTGGGGGACAAAGACAAGACTAGAAATTTTCCCTCCACCCACCCCGAGACAAATACTTCACTTCTTCCCCTACTCTATATTTACTTTGCCTTACATAAAATGCAGATTTACTGAGCACAAAAGGAATGTAATTGTTCCTCTACTCTCTCCTTTCACATGCAACCTGTGGATTCAGTGATTGCTAATCAAAGCCTCATAAGAATGTGACCACTCACCTCACTACATACCCTCCCTCTTTTTTTTTCTTTCTTATTTCCTCTTCTGCCCACTTTTCCCTCTTTATATAAGAAGCTCTCAAAACTCTCTTTAGAAAAAGTGCAGGCCATCGATTCTGCTGTGACTTGTGTCTCTTCTTCCTGCGCACATCATCAACCCTGGCAAAATAAACCTGTAAATTGATTGAGACCCATCTTAGACACCTGTTTTGGTTTGCACAGGTAATCAGAAGATTGTTCAAAATCTAGTCTTCACAGTTAGCTGACAGCAGGTACTGGGGAAGCAGGCACTGAGTGCTTGGGAGTTATGGACAATGTGCTAACTAGTTTCTAAAGATGGCCCCACAGTTCCTTCCCTTCTTCTATACATATGTCACTCTTTACATCTAGGATAGAACTTATTTTCTTTCCCTGTGAATCTGAGCTGGACTTGTGAGTGGCTTTATGCTGACATTCTGGGATTTCTGGGCCTGGTCATTAAGAGGACTGGCAGCTTATGCTTTCTTCTCTTGGAATGTTTGTTCTTCAGACACTCCCTTTTATATCCCAGTCAGCATGCTGTGAGAAGCCTGAGCCACATGGAGAAGCTACATGAAGGAAAACTGGTGTACACTGGTTAACAGCCCCAGTTGAGATCCTCATGGACGGCCAGCATTTACTGCCAGACATGTGAGTGAGCCATCTTGAATGTTCCAGACCAGCTGGGCTCCCAGATGACTATAGTCCCAACTGACATCATGTGGAGCAAGAGAACCACCCAGCTGAGCCCAGTCAACCAAGGAACTGGTGAAAGAAAATGAAATGGTCATTCTTCAAGCCACTAGATTTTTAGAATGGTTTGTATGCAACAAAAAGAGAACCAAAACAGAAAGCCCAGTTCCCAAATACTGGGAGGCTAGGGTCACTGATAAGAAACTTGGTGACATGGTTGCTAAGGTTGGTCAAACCTATCATAGCAAGAGTATTTATACCTCTTCCAAATGATTCCTTTTAAGCTAGCACAGCAAGGTAAAAATTTGATTACACCCATGGCATTTGAATTTAGGAAGGGTCTAAAATCTTTTGATGGGCTGCTTGGGAGATGGAAGATGAAGCACTTGGACATTGAATGGAAGAAGGCAACAAAAATATAGGCGAAATTGCCTACATAGAAATGGATAGGAATTCCTGGGGTGACTTAAGACAGAGGAAAGAGGAAAAGGGGAGTAGAGGGTGAGAGAGCAAATGAATGAAAAGGCAAGTATGAGAGTGAGAGTGAGAAAGCGTGAATGAACAACATGGCCAGAGGCCAGATTCTGTGAGGAGAGAAGACCTGTGAGAAATTCCCAGTGGTGGGAGGATGGAGGCCTCTTAGAACAAGGTTGTCCAGTATATAATATTTGCTATAAACTTATATGCCTTTTTGGAATGTTTGCTGTTGAAATTGATGTATAAATGATACCACAGACTTAAAAAACTTTGAAATAAAACATTTAACATTCACTGAAACCACTCATTTGGGAAGAAAGGAGGAGAGCAGCTACAAGCCAGAGCCAAATGTCAATTTGCCTCAGTTCTTAGCACATCAGTTTTACCAGCTTTCTTATTCATGAGTGCAATCCAAGATCTCCCATCCCATCTCTTTCCGGAAATTGTGTTGGGATCCACAAGGTTGGAGACTCTTGTATTTGTAAACAAATTTTTACAGTTTTGAAAAGCAATTTGAGTATACATTTTGAAAACAAGGGGAGTCAGATAGAATAGGTGTTCAACTGGATTAAGATTCAGGTGATGTAAAAAGAAAGAGAATGGGCTGGGCTCGTGCTTGTATTCCCAGCACTTTGGGAGGCTGAGGTGGGAGGATTGCTTGAGTCCATGAGTTTGAGACCAGTCTAGGAAACATAGTGAGATCCTAAAAAGTTAGCTGGGCATGGTGGCATACACCTGTAGTCCCAGCTACTCAGGAGGCTGAGGCAGGAGGATCACCTGAGGCCAGGAATTACAGGTGGCAGTGAGTTATTATTGCACCAATGCACTCCAGCCTGGGTGACAGAGTGAGATTCTGTCTCTTAAAAAATAAAAAAGAAAGAATTACAGTATTCACTTAGAAGAACATAAGGATTAAACATTGAGGGAACACAGCATTAAGGATCTATTTTGTTAGTTTGTGGTTTTAACTTTTGGAATACATATGTTATGGTATTATGATTTGAAAGTGTTCCCCAAAGTTCATGTACTGGAAACTTAATTGCCAGTGTAACAGTGTTGGGAGGTGGCACCTTTAAGAGGTGATTAGGCTGTGAGGGCTCTGTCCTCATGAATGGATTAATGCCCTTATAGTGGGAGTGGGTTAGTTATCCTGAGGGTGGGTTCCTGATAAAAGGGATGATTTGGGCCCCCTTCCACCTCTCTTTCTTTCTCTTTATCTCTCTCTTTCCTTCTCAGTCTTTCTCGTGTGTGCACATGTGTGTGCTCTCTTGCCCTTCCACTTTCCTCCTTCTGCCATGGGGAGACACAGCAGGAAGGCCCTCACAAGATGCCAGCACCTTTACATTGGACTTCCTAGCATTCAGAACCATGAGAAATAGATTTGTTTTCTTTATAAATTACCTAGTCTGTGGTATTTGGTTATAGCAACACAAAACGAATGAAGACAACATGATTTAGAATCATTTTGATTTTGGGATAAGCAAAAGAATACAGAGCTGCATTTCCCACCTGGACAGAGATGAGATAACAGAATAGGAAGAAATGTATGAGTGGGACTCAGCAAGAGCTGGAAATCTTATTGAGAAGTGGCCTCAAAATCATGAGCTCCTAGGAATTTGCAGACATTTGGGGAGGGCATGGAATTTCTCACAATGTTTGGAGAAGCTTGAGTGGAGCTCCTCCAACTCCAAAGAAAAGTTGCAGGAAACAATTATAGCCTTTCTCAAATGGGTTCCAAGAGAGAACTGGACTCAAGTGCACTATGAACATCCATTGTACACAATGAATTAACTTATTTCCTGTAACTTTCATCCCGGAAGAACCTTCTAGATTGGTACTCATTATCAACTCTTCTTGGGAGAATTGAGAACAAAGTCATTCAAATAATCTTCTGTGTTCTGGGGTTTGGATGTGGAATCCCAGTTGAGACATCAGGTTTTTTTATAGCACAAATAAGGTACCTTCTGATAGAGCCAGAAGAGTTTTTATTTTTATTGTGTTTTCCTTTTTAAAAATGTTTAATTACTATGGGTATATAATTACATATTTATGAGGTACATGAGATATTTTGATATAGGCATACAATGTTTAATGATCACATCAGAATAATTGGGATATCCATCGCCTCAAGCATTTATCATTTCTTTGTTTTCACCAATTCCACTCTTTTAGTTATTTTAAAATATACAATAAATTATTGTTAACTATAGTTGCCCTATTGTGCTACCAAATTCTGGATCTTATTCATTCTATTTAACTGTATTTTTTGTACCCATCAGTGATCCCCACTTTATACCCCCTCTCTGCTGCCCTTCCCAGATTCTGGTAACCATCATTCTACTTCCAGCTCTATGAGTTCAATTTCTTTTTTAGTTTTCACGAAGTGAGAACATATGATATTTGTCTTTCAGAAGAGTTTTTAGAGAAAAACTCTGGTGATGTGCTCCAGGTCCTGGCTGGTGAGAAGGTCCCCATTTTAGCCATCAGGAGCCTCTGGTCACACAGCTTCCAAGCTGGAAGGTACCTTGAGAGTCATGGGACCCCATCCCCTTATTTTCTTCATTGGGAAAATGAAGCTCAGAGAGATTCAAGGTTAATTTGTCCAAGGTTAAGTGTGTTGCAGGAAGTCAGGGACCCTGAATGGAGGGACTGGCTGGAGCCGCAGCAGAGGAACATACATTGTGAAGATTTCATGGACATTTATCACTTCCCAAATAATACTCTTATAATTTCTTATGCCTGTTTTACTTTAATCTCTTAATCCTGCTATCTTTGTAAGCTGAGGATGTACGTCACCTCAGGACCCTGTGATAATTGTGTTAACTGTACAAACTGATTGTAAAACATGTGTGTTTGAACAATATGAAATCAGTGCACCTTGAAAAAGAACAGAATAACAGTGATTTTAGGGAACAAGGGAAGACAACCGAAAGGTCTGACTGCCTGTGGGGTCAGGCAAAAAGAGCCATATTTTTCTTCTTGCAGAGAGCCTATAAATGGATGTGCAAGTAGGGAAGATATCGCTAAATTCTTCTCCTAGCAAGGAATATTGATATTAATACTCTGGGAAAAGAATTGCATTCCTGGCGGGAGGTCTATAAACGGCAGCTCTGGGAATGTCTGTCCTATGCAGTTGCGATAAAGACTGAGGTACACCCTGGTCTCCTGCAGTACCCTCAGGCTTACTAGGATTGGGAAACTCCAGCCTGGTAAATTTTTGGTCATACCGGTTCTCTGCTCTCAAACCCTGTTTTCTGTTAAGATGTTTATCAAGACAGTACGTGCACCGCTGAATATAGACCCTTATCAGGAGTTTCTGATTTTGCCCTTGCCTTGTTTCCTCAGAAGCAAGTGATCTTTGTTCTCCTTTTTGCCCTTTGAAGCATGTGATCTTTGTGACCTACTCCCTATTCTTACACCCCCTCCCCTTTGGAAATCCTTAATAAAAACCTGCTGATTTTGTGGCTCAGGTGGGCATCACTGTCATACCGATATGTGATGTCACCCCTGGAGGCCCAGCTGTAAAATTCCTCTCTTTGTGCTCTTTCTCTTTATTTCTCAGACTGGCTGACACTTGGAAAATAGAAAGAACCTACATTGAAATATTGGGGGTGGGTTCCCCCGATATAAGAGTGGTTAGGCAGCAGAGAGAGAAGTGGAACCTGGTTTTTTGACTCTTAGCATGGGACTTTTCAGAGAGATAATTCCATTAATTGTTCTGGTAGATCGTATTACTGTTCCCCCAAATATTGTTTCTCCCAACTCCTTTCAGTGCCCCTCTCCTGCAGTTCATAATCTTTCTTTTCCTGTTGCCTCAATGGCCTGAGTGAACACAGAATGGAGCAGAGCTGTGATAGACATGTAGTGTGAACAAGAAATATTCTTTTCTGTTGTGAGCCGCCAAAGTTATGGGGTTGTTTGTTGCCACAGTCTAACTTAGCCTATCCCAACTGTTGCATTTTTCTTCTGCATTATAAGCAGGCTGTCTTGCAAGTGAAGGAATGTATTATCCATTGGTCTACCTGGAGACTACATTTCTGTTATAGCTATTAATTTGAACCATTGCTACAAATTCCTTTTCTATAAGTCTGGGTTGCATGAGCAGTGTCTGAACGGATTTAATCAAACTGGATAACCACAGCATCACAGCCAGGAGTTCAGAAAAGAGTCAGTGACCACGAAGCCTTCCCTGACCATCCCTTTCTCCAATAGAGAGGACACAAGGAAGAGAAGTGGGAGGGTGAGAGGAAGGGGGCTAGGCCAAGAAAGGGATGTGAGGGATTGAAGATGGACAAAATTTCCTGACTTCATATTTTTGTGTAGGAGCAATCTTGAGAATTAGCTCTTCCTTACTCTGTGTCATCCATCTGACCCACCCTCTCACAGGAGGCCATTCCTCAATCACAGCCAGAAGGAATTGCTAAGTTGCTAGCTTTTGGAGTGTATCCTAAATGTTAAATTTCAATTTTCATCTTAGCAGTACAAAACAAGGTCTTCATTCTTTATTGCTATTTTTTTCATAATCAAGTGTTACATGATTTAAGAGGTTTTATTAGGTAATCATTGGTGATTGTTTATCACATGTCATTAATGTCACCCATTGTATGTCATTAAAATGAGTCAGCCTAAGGTGAGGTAATGGCAGTCCCACAATTGGATTATGTCATCAGAGAGTCACTCTTTGGTTGAAGATATTATATATGCCCTGTGAGTCACACACTTCCCAGAAGCAAATTCTAAGCACCTGACTTAGGTTAAATCATCTTCTTCTTCTCCTCTTCCTCTTTGTCCTCTTCTTCATCCTCCTCCTCCTCTTCTTCTTCTTCTTCTTCTTATTATTATTATTATTTAGAGATGGGGTCTTGCTATGTTGCCCAGGCTGGCCTTGAACTCCTGGGCTCAAGCAATCTTCCCGACTCAACCTTCTGAGTAGCTGGGACTACAGGTGCACACCATTGCTCCAGGCTTTAAATTTACTTTGAACTTCTGGAATTTTTGTATTTCCCTTGACAGAGTCAGAGCTACCTAAGGGTATTGCCAAACCCAGAGGGAGATCCATTTTCATCATTATAACCTGAAAACATCATTAAACATTCCTCATATCTTAACCCAAATTTGTATGTTTTATAAAATAATGAGTAACTTTAAAAGGAGCTTTGAATACAATTTACATGTATAAAAGCCTTCTTAAAATGAATTTTATATTTGGTACTTCAAGGATAAAAAATGCACAAGTAATTAAAACACAAAGGAGTAACCTTTGTGTTTCAAATATTGATACCTAATGACTCCAATAGTCAAGACAAAAGCTATTTCATGTCAACATTAGGCAGGCAGCCATAAAATCTCTCTGAAGTAGCTGCATGAGAAACAAGATGTTTTGTTTATATCTTTTGAAAAGTTCACAAAGACTCCATTATGTGGGAGTGTTAAATGTAACCCAAGTGACAATTCTATCCTAACATATGCCATGTCTGATCTTGCCTGGCCCAGAGCATCCTAGCTATGGGGACTGCTCTTTTCACACATTATTTAGATTAGATGCAAATATTTAGGCATCTTATTAACACAGCATATCACTGTTCAGATGGAATGTTCCTCACAGTCCAATGGGTGCCACCACAATCTACCACCACAGCACTGGATAAAGGCACCAGACCCTGGGGGCTGATGAATGAATGACAGTGCCCACCATGCACTCCTTCTTCATCCACATGCTTCCTACTGCCTCTGAACTGCACTTTTTTTTTCTGTGTTTGATCAAAGCACTGCAAAATTTACTTGGATAAGAGGCAGTGTAATGGTTAGGAGCATGAATTCTGGGACCAGGCTACTCAGCTTCAAATCCCGGATCAGCCACTTATTAGTTTCGTGTCCTTGGCAGGTTCCTTAACCTCTGTGTACCTCAGTTTCCTCATCCGTAAAACAGGGGTAATGATAACAGCATCTCATAACAGGGTTGTTGTGAGACTAAATGAATTAGGCATATAAAGGGCATGGAACATGTTGTTTCTGGCTTATAGTAAATGTTACATAAGTGTTAGCTGTGACTATTGCCTCTGGTTACAGTTACTGTGATTTGGAATTGCACTTGGCAAGAGAGGGTTTATCTGGTTTATCAGGGCACTCAGTTGCCAAGATACCTAGGAAGCCCACCATAGGAACTAATTTGAGGCCCTGGCCTCCCAAGGGCACCCAAGGGGGCCAGAGTCTTAGGGGAAAGTTTCACTAAACTTTGTTCACTGGGAGGGGCATGGGCAGCCCCAGGATTGTAATGCCTCCTAACTTTTTTTTTTTTTTTTTTTTTTTGACAGAGTCTCACTCTGTCACCCAGGCTGGAGTGCAGTGGCACGATCTCGGCTCACCACAAACTCTGCATCCCAGGTTCAAGTGATTCTCCTGCTTCGGCTCCCGAGTAGCTGGGATTACAGGCGCCCGCCACCACACTTGGCTAATTTTTGTGTTTTTAATAGAGACGAGGTTTCACCATGTTGGCCAGGCTAGTCTCGAACTCCTGACCTCAGGTGATCCACCCACTTTGGCCTCCCAAAGTGCTGGGATTACAGGTGTGAGCCACCACACCCAGCCTGTAATGCCTCCTTTCTAATGGGAAATGGTGGGGCCCAGGGTCTCCCCATCAAGCATCCTAGACACGAGGCTTGGACAGCCAGACCAATTCCCGACCCCCATTCCCTAGGGAGAATGCAACTTCTAATACTCTTGTTCAGATGGCTCAGGAAGGTCTTTAGCATGACATAAGTTTTTGGAAAAAAATTCTCTTAAGCTAAAATTGCATTCATGCTCTCGTCATATTAGAAAGAATGCCAAAGTCCTCCCTGGAAGTTCCTGAGATGGAAGCAAAGATGGGAAGCTAATTGATGGTAGCAGCCAGTCTCCTGGAAGGGCATAAGGAGGACTTTGGCTTTCTTTTCTTTTCTTTTCTTTTCTTTTGTGTGTGTGAGACAGAGTCTTATTCCGTCACCCAGGCTGGACTGCAATGGCATGATCTTGGCTCACTGCAACTTCCGCCAAGAGATTCTCGTGTCTCAGCTTCCCTAGTAGCTGGAATTACAGGTGTGCGCCACGACGCCAGGCTAATTTTTGTATTTTTAGTAAAGACAGGATTCCACCATGTTGGCCAGGCTGGTCTCAAATTCCTGACCTCAAGTGATCTGCCCACCTTGGCCTTCCAAAGTACTGAGATTACAGGCATAAGCCACTGCGCCTGGCCTGGTATTATTTCTTATATGAAGAGAGCATGCATGCAGTTTTAGGTTAAGAGGATTTTTTTTTTTTTTCCAAAAACTTATGTCATGCCAAAGACCTTCCTGAGCCATCTGAACAAGAGTATTAGAAGCTGCATTCTCACCAGGGAAAGGGAGTCTGGAATTGGTCTGGCTGTCCAAGCCTGGTATCTGGGATGCTTGATGGAGAGACCCTGGGCCCCACCATTTCACATGAAGCAGCAACCTCCCTGCCACACTGCAGCAGACACTGTTGCGTGGTTATTCAATAACCATTCCTCTTTTTCCCTTGCCTTCCGCACACTAGAGAGATAAAAAGGTCAAATATTACTTGCTTTTGTGGGTAGTCATGTGACACATCTCTCGCTAATTAGATATAAGGAGAACTCTTTAAAAAATATTTTCCCCTACTTTTTTCTTTTAGGGCCAATTATGTGAGGATCTGATGCGTATAGCTGTGGCAACAATTTTGTGATCATTAGGTAACACATTTAAGGGCAAAAAGTGAATATGCTGAAGAATGGTAGAGGGGAAGGATGAAAAAATCCTGAAGTTTCAATGTTATCATTGAACTGCTGAACAAATCCTAGGACTGCTTATCTCTGGATTCTTTATTCTGTAAATAATGAATGCTCTTAAGGCTTAAGTCACTATTAGTTGCTTCTAACACTGTTAGTTGCTGTTATTCACAACACGAAGCGTTCCCAAATGATACTTAAACTCTCACCCTGTGTGTCTAGCTTGTGTAGCTGAACTGCTGTTTTTTTTTTTTTTTCCTCCTCAATCAGGCCCTTGTGTGACCAGGCTTTGATAGCCATCCCAACTCTTGCATTTCTCTTTTTCTCCATGGTGCTTGAGTTGATTATCTTCAACTACTGGCTGAGACTCAGGATATCCCACTCTCCTGCCCTAAGATGTAGAATCTGTCCATAGATGCTGCCCATGGTGTCCCATTCACTGACTTGAACCCCCTTCTGTGTTGATGTCCTTCCAGACCCAAGGCTTCCCTATAATTTTGAACATTTTGATTTGAACTACAGGCCACCCAAGGCAAAGGCAGCTCCCTTAGTCCCAGGCCTACCCAGTTCCGCCTACTCATGCCTCCCTGGTAGACCTTCAGCAAAGGCATTATCCCAGCATGTCTGGCAGGTGGGTCCAACCTGGTTGGAACCCATGAATCCTGAAAGGTTATGGCCCAGAAACTGCCCCTCTCAGTCCTGAAGATTTTGAGTTCTTGGTGCTTTATCCCTCACTTCTCAGCATTTCTCATACTGATGACTTGTTGCTTTGTCCCTGGTCCAGAAACCTGATCTTGATCCTTGCTTTGCATCTGTTCAAAATGGTATTTTGGAAAAGAGGCCTGGATTTTTAGAGTCAGGAGGTTTTGGCTCTAGTCCTGTCTCTCCTACAAACAAACCAAAGTAGGCTGCTACTTTTCCTCTCTGTACTTCTATTTTCTGTGTACAAAATGGAGTGTTGATCTTTGCCTGACATGGACATTTACCTATTTAGAAAGTGAATTTTAAATACAGAGACACAATAAAAATTATAGAGTACATCTTAAAGAAATTATTTAGAACATTGAGGAACATTTCTATAAGTACTCATGGTGTCTTTTTAATTTTGAGGTTTGGGGAGTATAATGAAAATTTTGCTGGAGTCAGTCTTAATTGAAAAAAAAAATCGCATTCATTTTTCCCCAGGGTTTTCTAACACACCAGATATAAATTACAGAAAGGAGAAAAAAAAGCACTAAACAGTAATTCTGCCCAGCTGTAAACCTTGCTTTTCATGTGAATTAAGTCTTTGATCCCTAAAAATCCATTTTGCTCTTGGACAGATTCCAGAGACGCTGCCCTCTTGGGGAAGCAACGGTGCCAGGGACAGAAAGGCTGTTCAGAGCTGAGGTTTCTCCTACAGTTGTGCTGATCCAAGAAAGAAGCTTGAGGAATAGGCGTAGGGTGGGGGAATGAGCTCAGTGTACCTTCCCACTTTCTGGCATAAGACAGCGCTTCCCTCCTTTTCAGTTGCCTCTGCTTCTTCTCTCTGCTGTCTTAAGAAACGCAGGCCCTAACTATTTTCCTGAGGAGTGTATCTGTCTTTGTAACTCTGCAAGGCTTCAGCAGTCCTGCTGAATAAACTCTGCTTGACATGGTGAGGCGTATAGGCACTTCTATCCTTATGTAAGCTCATCCATTTTCCATATGTGAGCATATCTATGTGCCAACTACTGTCCACAGGTGTATTGAGAGTCAAAGTGGGTGGAGGGCACTGAAAAAAGAAAATTGTTTAAAAAGTGTTTTTTTTTAAATTGAAAAAAGAGACTTTTAAAAATCAGTTTTTAAAAAATTGTGGTAAAATATACATAACATAATATTTATCATTTCAACCATTTGTGAGTGTATAATTCAGTGGCATTAACTATATTATCAAGCTATGTAACCGTCACTATTATCTATACCCGGAACTTTTGCGTCATCCCCAACATAAACTCTGAACCCATTAAACAACAATTCCTCACTCCCCTTCCCTTCAGCCTCTGGTAACCTCTAATTTGCTTTCTATCTCTGTGAATTTGCCTATTCTAAATATTTCATATAGGTGGAATCATACGGTATTTGTCCTTTTGTGTCTGGTTTATTTCATTTAGTGTAATGTCCTCAAGATTTATCCATGTTGTAACATGTATTAGAATTTCATTCCTTTTTATGGCTGAATAATATTCCATTGTATGATTGTACCACATTTTGTTTATCTATTAGTTAGTTGATAGACATTTGGTTGTTTCCACCTTCTGGCTATTGTGAATAATGCTGCTGTGATCATTGGTGTACAGAAATCTGTTTGAGTCCCTGCTTTTAATTCTTTTGGGTATATGTATATCTAGGAGTGGAATTGCTGGATGTTTTTTACATATAGACATGGTATCAGTAGTACCAACACAGGCCATAGGGATTTGCAAAGACAGGACACGTAGCCATGTCCAGAGAGCTGAGGCAAGAGTCAAGTGAAGGATCAGAGCCAAATGCAAGGAAAATAAAGGGTTGGAAAAGATGGACCATGCAGTTTTCCTATAAGATGCTGCAATTCAGTTAGGCCCATGGTGAAGGCAGAAGCTTCAGGAGCCTGGTGAATTGTTCCTTTGTAGAAAGACTGCAGGTGCTCCAGGGAGAGTGGGGCAGAGAAGACTGACAGGGAGACTGGGCAGCCAGGAAGGCAACAGGCAGAGGGTGAGGCCCAGTGAGCCTGGTGGATGTGGCAGAAGGACCAAGTTGTTGGCCAAATGCTGGCCATCTAGGAAATAAGGGCCCTGGCAACCAAAAAGCCTTGACCTTGTGGGAATTTTCCCCAAGTTAGAAAGTCTCTTGTACCCCTCCTGTGGATACAGGGAGAAAATCCCTGATGGCTCTTGGTTTTTGGGGGACGGTATCAAAGTAAGAGCAGATCCTGATCCAAGCCTACTTGTGGGAAATAATTGCTGAAGAAATTCCCTTTTGGAGACCAAGATGAGCAGCTAAAGGCTCAAGATGATCCATCATCTGGAACTATAATATGAACAACTACTACAGAACAGCACAGTTTTTATTACATGTTGCACTTGAGGGTAAATATATGGCATGTGTACTGGGCAAAGTCTTCTGTTATAAGGCCAAGAAACACACATATTAAATTCTAGGTGATGACTAATCCCCAACGACTTGGCTTAAAAATAACTGCAAAGGTCATTCCAGGTCATTGAGATTAGTAATTCCATGAGGGTACAAACCAGGTGGTGTTCTAATCCCCCTGACCTACAGTCTGCTGGGAAGGGACTTTACACCTCATTTTTAGGTTTCTCCCTAAAGGTCATCTACTGAGGACAGCCAGGAGAACAGCTGCCTGGGACACATTCACAGTAGGTGAGCACTAAGCCCAGGATGATACAGCTGTATACTTTCATGCTTACCAAGTGAGGCTATACAAATTTTGGATGGTACAGAACCTGCTTAGCTGGAAATCCCAGGTATTTTTTTCAATGGGCCTTCTAGACCAAATTCTCTGGGGTGAGAAGTTGCAAAGCACAATCTAGCCTAATCTGTGAGCCTTCATTGCGACTGATTTGTACTAAAAATAACATCCAGATACAATTAGGAAAGGTTCTCTCCTCTGCCATATCCCTGCCAGACAGAATTAACACAATTGCTATCCAGAAAGCACACAAGACATTGCTTCGAACTTGCAAAAAGCAGAATCTAAGGGAAGAGAATCCACATTATGAGAGAAATTAGTTCATGTTCTTTAGAAATTCCCTTCCCCCAAGCATTATAAATAGACCTCTGTAGTAATAGGTTCAATGGTAGTAATTTAGACTTGGTGACAAAATCCTGTGCTTTCCGGCTTCTGATGTGTTTATTTATGCCAGCCCTGGTCTCTGGTGAGTTCTCCTGCCCTCTCCATTTGTGCTCAGAGCTGCTTGAGGTTCAAAGATGCCTTTTACGAAACCCTCCCTGGGATTGCTTGCTGCTCCCGCAGGCCCCTTCCTCCTCTGAAAACCTAATGGCACTTCCGTATTCCGTTTTATCTGTGTATCTTCAAATCTCCTCTCCTATATGGTAAACTTCTTCATGACGCATGTTTTTCTTCCTTTTCTCATTTCTCCAGTATGTATTGTACTGGAGAGACATGCAGTAGATATTTATAGAACTAATTAATGAATCAACTCATGAATATAGAAGCAAATGATATTTAGTACAACTTTTTGGAATCCCTATCCCATAAAGTAGGGTGTGCCAGTATATTTTGGGGATGCATCCCTAAGTATCTGATTTAAATTTCCAGTGTTTCAATGTATCTATTTTTTTCCTGGTCTTTTTCTTAGTAGGAAAAGCACCACCTGCTGCGTATTTATTTAACTAATTAATTAAATGATTAATGAGGTCCTAAGTGTCTCTGCAGCTCCTCCTTCTTCAGGCTGGTTAAGTCCCATTCTTTTTGCCCTCCATTTCTGTCCCTGTGCCTTAGTTTTTTCAGCTGTGAAATAGGTCGGTATGTTACCTCACTGGGTAGGTGCTGTGAGGACTGAATAATACGGTGCTGCAGAAATATTCGGAAAAGTGATAAGTGCCAGGCAAAGTGATACTGGACTAGGAACTTTTCAAACCACCGTTAGAATAACACATTTGACCGCAAGGGAGAAGACAGCACCATAGAACAAGTTCTTAGTCATAATGAGCTCTAGGGAGGTCATGTGCCTTGAGAGTTGAGTGAGGAACAGGAACAGAGCAGGGCTAAAGATATTTATCCCATTAGTCATGGTACCAAGAACAGAGCTCTCCTGTGTACCCACTTAATCAAAACAGCACACCTTCCCTCCAAAAGCAGCCTATACCTAAAACACGCAAGTGCGTTATTTCAAAGTCACAGGAGTTACTGTCCAGAACAAGACAGCCTATTTAAAAATGAGTAATGTGCATTTCTTCCTGGAAAGAAAAAATCAATACCCTTCAGTGGGCCCAGTGCCACATACCAGCCTCCGCACAGTACTTTGCCTTTATCCAGAAGGAGGGGTGGAAACATTTGCTTTTCTTTCCCCTCCCGCTGGCATTTTGCCCCAGTGGGAGCACTTCCCACCTGTCTCCCCTTGAGTCTGAGGTGAAAGAAGGTCACCTCCCACAAACACACATTATACATTTCAGCTGTGATGGACACTCTAAGGGCAAACATTTTCTTCTAAACACCAAGCAGACTTTTCCAGATTAGTCAGAGAGGTACAATTGTCCATTTTGTAGAATCAACTACAATCCTTTGTCAGTTAAATTCCATTCAACTGAATTTTTAGATCAATATTTTTTAGCTTCTACTAGGTATCAGACACTGTGCTAGGCACTTTCCATAAATTATGTCATTTAATTCTCTCATTTTATCACAAGGAGATTGATATCAGAGAAGTGTGTGTGTGCACAAAGCCACACAATTGGTAAGTGGTGGAGCTGGGTTTTGAACCCAGGTATGTGTAGCTCCAAAACCCTTGCTTTTAACCATTAGGCTCTATCAGTTATTTGTGTTGTGCAAAGCACTGCATTAAATGCTAGGGACCTAAGAATGAATCAGATTTGCTCCTTGTCCTCCAGAGAGACTGGTATATTATCTTGTCTCTCTTACCTATCTTTCATTTGGTGTTCAATGGATAGTCCTACTGTGAAGTGGAAACTGCAGAGCCCTGGAGCTTAAGATCTTTCCCAAAGTTGGGTTAGTAGGTGACAAAGTGGGAATCCAAACCCATGCAATCTGACTCCCCAGCCCACACCCCTAACCACTGTGCTGTCTTCCTCCCTGCAAATATTTGTAAACAGATACTCGCCCAAGGTGTGATAATGTCTTTCATAGAGGTAAGTAAATGCATAATGTAACTGAACCATTGCTTGGGTTAAGTATCAGGGACACCAGATATAGGGTTTAAATAATGCCACCAAGGGAGGTGCAAAGGTGAGAAAAGCATTCCATGGAGCAGGCCTCCAAAAGAGCGGGAGGATATATATGGGTCCATCATGCACAGTTCTCACTTTGGTCTTATTCAAAGTGACACAATAGCCCAGCATTGCAGAACAGTCTCCCAAAAAGAATGGTTTGGTTTTTCATTTCTTGTTTTTTTACTTATTATTTTTACTTACATTCAGTGAAGTGCACTAATCTTAAGTATAAGCTTAATGAAGTTTTACATAGGTATATACCCATGTAAATACCACTCAGGGTAAGATATAGATTATTTCCACAGCCTCAGAAGGCTCCTTCATGCCCTTTCCCAGTCCACACCCATACTCCTCGCCTGAGATAATCAGTGTTCTGACTTCCATCACCTCTATTGGTTGGTTTTACCAGTTTTTGATTTTTGCATAAAAGGAATCATAAAATATGTATTCTTTTGTGTGTAGTTTCTTTTGCTCAACAAAGTGTCTCTAAGATTCCTCAATGTGGTTGCGTGTAGCAGTAGCCAATTCTTTTCAGGGCTGTCTCATTTCAGTTGTACGAATATACCTTAATTACTCATGTATTTTAATGGTTATGGACATTTGAGTTGCTTCTAGTCTTTGGATATTATAAATAAAAGTACTATGAGCATTCTTCGACATATCTTTCGGTGGATATATGCTCTTATTTCACTTGAGTATATACCAAGGAGTGAAATTGTCAAACCAAAAGATATATGTATGTATATGTGTGTGTATACACACACACACACACACACACACACATATGCATATACATATATGTATAGCTTTAATATGTGTGGTCAGACTGTTTCCCAAAGTGATTGTATCACTGTATATGACCACCAGCAGTGTATGAATGTTTCAGTTACTCCACATTCTTACCAACATTTGATATGGTTCAGTCTTACCGTTTAAAAAAATCTTTTAATTTTGAAATAGTTACAGATTCAAGGAACCATAATCAAGATGTGGAACTGTTCCATCATCACAAAGACTTCCCTCATGCCACCCATATACAGTTATACCCACCATCTCCCCACATCCTTTTCAACCCTTGGCAATCACTGATTTGTTCTCCATCTATGTTTTTGTCATTTGGAGAATGTTATATAATTGGAATAATACAGTCTGCGACCTTTTGAGATTGCTGTTTTTCACCAATTTTCTTTATTGTTTTTCTGTTTTCAATTTCACTGACTACTGCTTTTATCTTTATTATTTCCTTCCTTCTGCTTGCTTTGGGTTTATTTTGCTCTATTTCTAGGTTCTGAAGGTAGGAGCTTAGATTATTCATTTGAGACCTTTCTTCTTTTCTAATATATGCTGTAAATTTACCTTTCAGCACTGCTTTAGCTGTGTTCCACAACCTTTGATATTTTTTGTTTTCACTGTCATTTCATTTAATGTATTTGTTATAATTTCTCTGGAGACTTCCTCTTTGACCACTGGAATACTTAGAAGCATGTTATTTAGGTTTCACATGTTTGGGGATTTTTTGGTTAGCTTTCTGTTAATGATTTCTAGTTTGATTCCATGGTGGAAAGAGAATACATTCTGTATGATTGCAATTCATTGAATTTATTGAGGTTTGTTTTGTGGCCCAGAATATGTCTATCTCAGTGTATTTTCTGTGGGCACTTGCAAGTAATGTATATTCCACTGTTGGTGGCAGTGTAAATTAGTTCAACCATTGTGGAAGACAGTGTGGCAATTCCTCAAAGACCTAAAGACAAAAATACTATTCAACCCAGTAATCCTATTACTGGCTATATACCCAAAGGAATATAAATCATGCTATTATAAAGACACATACTTGCATATGTTCATTGCAGCACAATAGCAAAGACATGGAATCAACCTAAATGCCCATCAATCATGGACTGGATAAAGAAAATGTGGGGCTGGGCACGGTGGTTCATGCCTGTAATCCCAGCACTTGGAAGGCTGAGGTGGGTGGATTGCTTGAGGTCAGGAGTTCGAGACCAGCCTGGCGAAAATGGTGAAACCTTGTCTCTACCAAAAATACAAAAATTAGCCGGGCATGGTGACACACACCTGTAATCCCAGCTACTTGGGAGGCTGAGGCACGAGAACTGCTTGAACTCGGGAGGTGGAGGTTGCAGTGAGTGGAGATCACACCACTGCACTCCAGCCTGGGAGACAGAGCAAGACTCTGTCTCAAAAAAAAAAAAAAAAGAAAAAAGAAAAAGAAAATGTGGTAAATACATATACACCATGGGATACTATGCAGCCATAAAAAAGGAACAAGATTATATCCTTTGCAGGGACATGGATGGAGCTGGAGGCCATTATCCTTAACAAACTAATGCAGGAACAGAAAACCAAATATCACATGTTCTCACTGATAAGTGGGAGCTAAATGACGAGAACACATGGACACATAGAGGGGAACAACACACACTAGGGCCTACTGGAGGGTGGAGGATGGGAGGAGGGAGAGGATCAGGAAAAATAACTAATGGGTACTAGGCTTAATACCTGGGTAACAAAATAATCTGTAAGTAAAACCCCCATGACACAAGTTTACCAATATAACAAACCTGTACATGTACCCCTGAACTTAAAATAAAAGTTAGAAAAAGCCAATGGAGACTCCCCATCCCCAAATAACAAAAAGACAAAAACAAAGAAGAAAATAATGTATATTCTACTGTTCTTTGGTGGAGTGTTCTATCAATGGTGATTAGATCATGTTGGCCGATGGGGTTGCTCTTTTCTATATGCTTGGAGATTTTTTTCTAGTTGTCGTTCTATCAGTTGCTGAGGATTTTTCTATTTCTCATTTTAGTTCTGTCGGTTTTTGTTTCACATATTTTTCAGCTCTGCTGTTTTACGCACTAGGATTACTTTGTCTTCTTGGCTGTTTAGCCCTTTTATTATCTAATGTCCCTCTCTGTCCCTGGTCATTTTCTTTGCTCTGAACTTTACTATCTTATATTAATATAACAAATCCTACTTTCTTTGGATTAATGTTTGCATGGTATATCTTTTTCATCCTTTTACTTTTAGCTTACCTGTATGATTAGATTTGAAGTGAGTTTTCTTGTAGACAGTATATAGTTAGGTTACATTTTTTAAAAATTCATTTTGACAATTTCTTACTTGGTGTATTTAGACTTTTGACATTTAATGTAATTATTCATATGCTATGGCTTGAGTCTGCCAGTTTCTTTTTTATTTTCTGTTTGTTCTCTCTGTTTTTCATTTCTCTGTTTTTTCTCCTGTTTTTCCCCCTGTAGGTTACTTGAACATTCTTTAGAATTCCATTTTATTTTTGTTTTTTGTAATTTATTTGTGTTTATTTGATTTATTGTGTTACGGAGTGTACCTCTTTGAATAACTTTACTATATTGCATATATATAACTTACTAGATCTACTAGTGTCAACATTTTTTATCAGTCCAAGTGAAATGTGAAAACCTTACTTACCTTTGTGTCCCTTTACTCTCCCCCCATTTATAATTGTCTTAAATATTTTCTCTACATACATTGAGAACTACACCAGTCTGCTCTCATGCTGCTAATAAAGACATACCCAAGACTGGGTAATTTATAAAGGAAAGAAGTTTAGTTGACTCACAGTTCCACATGACTGTGGAGGCCTCACAATCGGGCAGAGGGCGAGTGAGGAGCAAAGTCACGTCTTACATGGCAGCAGGCAAGAGAGCATGTGCAGGAGTACTGCCCTTTATAAAACCATCAGATCTCATGAACTTATTGACTATCATGAGAACAGCATGGGAAAGACCTGTCCCCATGATTCAATTACCTCCCACTGGGTCCCTCCCATGACATGTGGGAATCATGGGAGCTATAATTCAAGATGAGATTTGGGTGGGGACACAGCCAAACCATTATCAACCAGTCAATGTTATAATTTTTGCTTCAACTGTCAAACATAATTTAGAAAACTCAAGAAGAGAAGGAAGGCCTATTGTATTTACCCATATTTTTATTCTATTATTGTTTCTTTCTCTCTAATGTTCCAAGATTTCCTTCTTTGATCATTTCCTTTCTGTCTAGAGAATTTCCATTAGCTATTATTTCAGCATAGGTCTGCTGGTGACAGATTCCTTATTTTTCCTTCATCTGAGAATGTCTTTGCTTCCCCCTTTATTCTCAAAGGATATCTTCACTGATATAAAATTCTGGATTGGCAGTTCTTCTTTTCTCTTTCTTCAGGACTTGAGAAATCTTGTGACACTTCTTTCTGGCCTTCTTAGTTTCTTGTGAGAAGCCTGATATTATTTGAATTGTTTTTCCCCTACAGGTTAGGTGTCATTTCTCTCTCACTGCTTTTAAGATTTTTACTTTGTCTTTAATTTTCAGAAGTTTGACTCTAATGTATCTTTCTGTGAAATTCCTTGGGTTTATCCTGTTTGGGGTGAGCTTAGCTTCTTGGATATGTTTATGTCTTATTCCAAATTTGGAATTTTTTTAGCCATTATTTCTTGAAACACTTTTTTAGCCTGACCCTCTTTCTCCTTTCATCTTGAGACTCTGATGATATAGATGTTACATCATTTGTTATAGTTCCACAGGTCTCTGAGGTTCTATTCATTTTTTTTTCAGTTGATCTTGTCTCTGTTGTTCAGATTGGGTAATTTCTATTGTTCTATATTCAAATTCACTGATTATCTGTCATCTAACCTCTACATTTTGCTTTCAAGCACATCTATTGAGGTTTTTCTAAAATTTTGGTTATTGTATTTTTCAGTTCTAAAATTTTCATTTGGTTTTTCTTTGTATTTTCTATTTCTCTGCTGAGACTTTCTGATTTTTATTCATTTCAAGCATGTTCATAATTGCTTCTTGAAGCATTTTTATGATGGTTTCTTCAAAATTCTTGTCAGATAATTGTAACATCTGTGTCATCTCAGCAATCGTATCTGTTGATTGTTTTTCTTGTTCAAGTTGAGACCTTCCTGGTTCTTGGCATGAAGAATAATTTTTGGTTGAAAGGTGAACATCTTGGTTATTATGTTATGAGATTCTGGGTCTTATTTAAATGTTCTGTTTTAGCTAGCATCTCTTGACATCACTCTGGCAGAGAGAAGGAGGGGTGCTGCCTTGTTACTTCCAGGTGGCACTACAAATCTAGGCTCTCCATTGGCTTCCAGTGATACCTGGGGGTGGAGGAGGGACTTCTGATTACTGCTGGGTTGTGGTGGGAATTCAGGTTTCTTCCTTAGTAGGCTTCTGCCCATATAACTGTGACTGTAAGAAACAGCAGTACTTTACTGCTCCCCATGTAGCCTCCATTGACACCATGGGCGGGAGGCCTCATGACCACTGGGTGGTGGTGAAAGTCTTAACTCTTCATCAGGCCTCCTCTGACACCACTCCAGTTGCGCGAGGGGTGCTTCATTACTGCCAAATGGGAATGAAAGTCCAGGTTCCCCACGTAGTCTCCACAGACACCAGGAGGTGGGTGAGCAGAAATAAAGTCCTCATGTGGCCTTCTCTGACAACACCCTGGTGGGAGAGGGGGGTTTTGTGGTGCCTTGTTACAGGCTGGCAAGTGTGGAAGTATGGTTTTCCCATTCACCATTTGCTGATGAAGATGGGGGTAGGGGCTGTAGTATTCTCTATTGTGTTTAGCTGGAGTAAAGAAGTTATTGTCTAAAAGTTTTCTGTCTTTCTAGGCTGTCCGTTTCCTGGTCCTCTGGTTAGAGAGTGCAGGCTTTTCTTGTCTGCGCCCATTGGACTTTCCAGTTTGCTGGCTTCTCCAGCATCCAGGCTGGTATATTTGTGGCAAAAACAAAAATCAAACAAAAAAAGAAGGAATTTACCACTGTGCTGTTCTTCAGGCCCCAAGGCCCTTGGTTCATCTACCATTTCCTTTCCACCTTTCTGGGTCTTCTCATATTTGTTTTATATATAATGTCCGGGGGGGTTTAGCTGTACTTAGTTGTTGAAATAGGGAAAAATACATCTATTTCATCTTTCTGAAAGCAGAGGTCCTTTCTGAAGGGGGGTTTTAAAATGCTGTTTCATGCCATTTTTGGGTTCTGGGGTTTTACCTCAGGGGCTGCCATGGTGAGGAGAGGATTTGGCAGAGGAGGATGTCGAGTGGCAATACTCTGGGCGCCCTTACCTGTGATTTAGTACAGCAGCTTTGATGATTTTATACACTGGCGTTCTACCTAAGATCTCATGGACAAACAGGTTCTGCTGCCTAAAAGAAGTTAGAAACCACTGCTATAAACTATTGAAATGTCCTCAAATTCTAGCATTTTAGTTTCCAAACTATCTATCTCTCACTGTCTTTTACGCCTGAAAGAAGTGCAAAAATCTTTTGTCAAAACCATGTGTCTATGTTTTTAATTTGGGCAACATGGTAGCCATAACCATATGCCATGAAAGCAAAGTATCTAGGAAAGTTTCAGATATTTGCACACCTAACACAGATGTTTCATTTTGCTGTTCTTTCAGCTAGTGAGACAGAGGAAAGGATTCAGCATCTGGGGGCCACATGCCTAGATGTGAGTCTTAACTAATCTCTAGCTGTATGGTCTTATATGAGTGACAATTTCTCAAAGCTTCTATGTCCTCATCTGAAAACAGGGATGATAAGAACTAATTTGTATGATAACTTATTAAATGCTAATGGACCATACAAAAGACACGTAAAGGGTTGGCCTCTGCAACACTGTTCAATATAATAGCCACTAGCTATGTGTGGCTATTGAGCATTCGAAATATGATGAGTGTGACTGAGGAATTTAATTTTATTTAATTTGAATTAAAAATGACTCGATTCAGTAATTGAAAAACTTTGAAGTATATTTGGAAGAATTTAGGTATGAGTATTCGGAACCCCTTGAGTATGGAACAACTGTAAATGTTATGGAATCTAAACAGAGGTCAAGTATTTCTGATGGAAATTTTGTGTCCGAGTTGTGTTGTGCTGTAAAACACACTGGATTTTGAACACAGTATGAGAAGAAGAATATAAACTATTGGTAATTTTTATTATCAATATTTAATACATGTTGGAGTGATATTTTAGAAATATTGGATTAAATAAAATATATTTAAAAGTGATTTCATTCAGTTCTTATTAATTTTAAAATTGTGGCTACTAGAAAGTTTAAAATGATATGTGTGGCTTACATCATATTTCTATTAGACACTGTTCCTCTAGAATGATCATCATATTACATGTGATGTGGGTAAATAAACATCATATGCTTTTAAATTTGGTATGACTGAGTGACTCCTTTAGATAGTTTTATCTGCTTAAGCTATTAAAATATATTTTCTTAAACAACTGAGCACTTGTGGGATATGTAGAATTTTTGCCTAAAAGTTAGCTGACTGAGATTGTGAGAGAGAAGCTCTTCTCATTATTGGTGGGAATGTAAATTGATATACCCCTTACCAGGTGACCATTCATTCATGTATTCATTCAGGAAATTGTTTTTGAGCTTATACTATGTGCCAGCTGCTATACTGTATCTGCAGACACAGGTGTAAGCAGATATGAGATGCCTGCCCTTCTAGAAGTTACTGGATATAAGGAACAACTCAATGTTAGGTGTGCAAATATCTGAAACTTTACTGAATATTTTGCTTTCATGGCATATGGTTATGGCTACCATGTTTCCCAAGCTAAAAACATAGACACATGTTCTTGACAAAAGATTTTTACACTTTTTTTTCAGGCATGAAAGACAGTGAGGGAGATATAGATTGGGAGCCAAACTGTTGGAATTTGTTAACTACTTGGAAAGTCAGTCACTGGAAAAATAATTACAAGAATAGTCATTTAGTTGCAATTGTGGTAGGCTCTACAAAGTAAAAAATATCCTTAAAACACTCTTAAAATGAGCATGCCATTTGAACAGAAACTTCGCTCTTGGGAATTTATCTTAGAGAAATATTCATGGATGTGCCCAAAGATATATGTACAGGAATGTTCCCTGAAGTGTCAAAATAACAAAAATACCTAGAAACAACCCAAATGTTCAAAAATTTGGGATTGGCTATCTAAATTATCTATTTGATGGAATACTATGCAGCCATTTAAAATCATGCTGAGAGAGATATTGAATGACTTTAAAGTGTGATCACAAAAGCAATATGTGTACTATGATTCTGATGAAATAAACATATAAATGCATGGAAAAGTACAAGCACAATCTTCATCAACATGTTAATAGTGTTTATTTCTCTGGTGGGGTTATGTGTGATTTTTTTCTCCCTTTTGGCCTTTGTGAAATTTCTGCATACCTTTTACAATGAACATCGATTAATTTACTATTCAAAAAATTAATATGTTTTTGAAAATAATAAGCTGATTGAATCAGTCTGTATTTTATTTCATAATTTTGTTGAATTGGGACAGAGGAGAGGAAATGGAAAATGGGAATGCTAGTCCTGTAGGATTTAATAGTTAATAAAAATGTAGACCATGTTTAGTCTATATTCATTGCTTGTTTGAAACGATTAACATTAAATCAAAAGGAAATTGAAAAAAAATGAAAAAGCAACCTCAGCAACCTGAGTGGAACAGGAGATGATTGTTTCTTCTGTGCTTGAGTTTGTCATCATGAGCCAGATTTCTCTGCACAGTTCACTTTCTCAGGAGCCACATTTTGTAAATTCAGATGCTTCAGAAATTCACCATAAAGGTGTTTAATCAAAGCTTGGATTTGACCTATTTCAAAGATTAAAGGTCCCTTTCAACAAAATGGAGATTACTTGAGGCTTATAAATAAGTTACCAAACAAGAAGCAGCCTTCATTTTTCATCGTCCACTTGATACCACTTGGCTTATCCTGTGTTTCATAAGAGTAGGATTTTGGTTCTCTCCCATTTTACCTGTTCTTTGGGCTGCTCCTTCCATTGTCCAAGCAAAAAATTGCACAAGGCTGTTCAGAATGGAGATTTCACTATATCACAATCTGTCTGGAGTAGAGGTCTTCAAATGCAACTGCCCTGAGGACTGTCTTATGCAATAATTCAGCTTCCTTCCCTCAGATAAAAAATACTTATATTTAAACAGTGACTAAAAGGAGGTTGGTAGCAGTTAAAAAGTGCCAGTGCAGAAAAGAATGCCAAAGGAATCAGGGAAGGAGAACTTAGAATAACAACCAAACCCAAACCAGCTTTGCTTTCCTAACTATTGTTTTAATGAAGATAATAGACATTTGTAATTGCATGTTGTGTGTACCATGGTGGAGAGATAACTATGGGTCACTGCCACAAAACTGACCTCCAGGGGTTTTGAAGAAATGTCCAGGGGATGGGGACAAGGATCAGTGAGAAAAGGTCATGAGGTCCTGGACAAACAAAAACAAGCCAATAACAATAGCTGCTGCATTAATCGAATGCCTGCTTTGAACCAGATGCTGCTCTAGGCATTTTAAATAAGTTATTTCATTTGCAAACTTATTCTCAGAATTTTACAAAGTCGGTCTTATTTGTTTCACTTTATAGATGAAGAAAATGAAGTTCAGAAAAGTTATTATATAATATTAATATTATTATTACTAATGCTACTGTGATGACTACTGGTCAATTTTATTGAGCAGTTGCTATGCACTAGGCACATGCTCTGTATTTCTCTATCTCATTTAATCCTGGCAACAACACAATGAAGTATTCGCCAGAACATATACCTAGTGACCTGAGATTCATATCCAATTGTGTTTACTTCAAAGTCCAACTCTTTCTATTGCACCTACAACATCATCTACCACCAATCATCTTTAAAATGGTAGTATAATGATACCAATGAAGAGTAACTGAAGAATGAAAGTGAACTTGATTTTTCTTCCAGTTCTAAATTTGCTATAGATTTCTTTGGGGGCGGGGGTGTTGCTAATATATATGTCACTAATTTTCATCCTCCTTTTTGAGGAGATAAAATCTGGGGGACTTGCATGTGTTGCAGTGTTTATTTTCATCCCATTCATTAAACTAAGAACTCTTGGTTCACTCAATAATAATCCCTGGGGTTGATCCTTAATCTATTCCCAACCTGGGACTTCCTGCCAATCCAATGCTTAACAAACATTGACCAGTCTGATTGTTTTCCTTAAAAGCTTGTCCAAAATCAAATCAGAAATTATTTTTTACTCCCAAATCAAGACAATAGAGATCATTAATCAGAGTCATCTAGTCTACTGGATTTGTCCCAAGTGAAGTAAAAGGAACTCCTGGGCCCAGCCACGTGTTCTCTCTTAGGCATATTTATTTATTCCTCTTGCAGATTTTGTAGATTAAATGCATATTAGAAAAATTGTTATTTTGAATGTGAAAAAACTAGACCACCTTGAGGCCAGCCTCAGTGTGGTGGTACATTTAAAAGATAAATGTAGGCTGGGTGCCGTGGCTCATGCCTGTAATTCCAGCACTTTGGGAGGCTGAGGTGGGAGGATAGCTTGAGCTCAGGTGTTCAAGTCCAGCCTGAGCAACATGGCAAGACGTTGTCTCTACTAAAGAAAAAAAAATAGCTTGACTTGGTGGTGCATGCCTGTAGTCCCAGCTACTCGAGAGGCTGAGGCGGGAGGGCTGCTTGAGCTTAGAAGGTGGAAGCTGCAGTGAGCTATGATCGTGCCACTGTACTCCAGCCTGGGCAACAGAGCAAGATCTTGTCTCAAAAAGAAAAAGAAAAAGAAAAACCTATTCTAATTCCAAAGACTTCAAGAGTGATGCAGATATTTATTCAATACTCAGCTAGCTTTTCTTTTCTTTCTCCTTCCTTTTTCATTCATTTCCAGCCACTTGCTCTAACAAGTATGCATTTCTACCTATTCCCTTGATCACAACAACACAGTATCAACTATGAGAGGAGGGACTGGAGGGCAGGAGATGCAGGAGACAGACCTTGTACATTTATAATTGTTATGTGCATGGGACCTGAGTACTGTTAGTTTTTGTTTTTATTAATCGTAGGCGATTTTAACGTGCAGTCCAAGTTAAAAACCTCTGCTTTAAGGGATATATAGTTGGATTCTTCTGTTTCATCTCTTCAAGGATGTGGCAACTTTCCTTTTTGTCTTTCCTGCCTCTTACTGTTTTGTTTTTCATATTCACTTTTCAACCTTTCACTTTTCCATTCTCATTTGTTCCCTCACACCTACTTTCTTTCTAATCAACAGTTGGGATGAGAATTCAAGTACAAGTTGTTTCTTTGTGAGGTGATCCTAGGAGATACCAGTAGCGGAGTGGGGAAGTGAGAAAGGGCAGGGAAGGCAGCTAATAAGAATGTGTCATCAAGGGTGCCCACTCTGGGCAATAAGAGCTTAGTCTGGTTTGAAAGATAAAACACATATCTCAGAGTTATCCCATCCAAGGGGCACAGGAGCTGGGAGATTTATCTAACAGTTCCTGCCAGACATTGGTTGAGGACTGTTCCCAGGAGCCCTTAATCCTCTGCCCCTTCTAGCCTTTGTGTGCGCCCTAGAGTGGGTGGTAGCAGCCAAAAAGGCTCTCGAGCAAAGGGCTACAGGTGCCGATAGTTGGAAGTCCAGCCAGTACACAGCAGAGGTAAGCTATTATATACTTATTATATATTATACTCTTCTTCTCAATCACTAGTAAACAGATTCAGGTTCAGCACCTTTACCTCTACTCTGTTCTCCCTCAGCTTTTTTCAATTTTTTCATTATCTTATTTCATACCATTATGCCTCATACTTCATCTTTCCTCAATTTTTCTTTCTAGCACTCTCCTTTTATATTTAAGGCTACAATCTCCTCCCTCCTGGGCAAGTCTGCATAAGGCACTGGTGGTTAATTAGGGTGACAGTAAAGAATGAGTGAATGGGCATGATCCACATTGCTGCCAGATATAAACCCCAGTGTGTTTCCAAAACACATATCTGAGGCAAATTTTCCATTGAAATGAAGCTTTTTTCCATTGCAGTCTTGTCCTATAATTTTGCCCGTGGCATTTGACCTCCCTGATTTAATCAACTCATTAGCAATTTAACATCATACCCTGGGATGTCATTTTATTTAAGCTGTGAGTGGAAAAAACACACTTAAACTCAAAGTTCTTTTTCTTTTCTCTTACTCAATAACAATCAACATGGAAGACTTCAGCGACAAATGTATGGGGTTTTTTCCTTACCAGCAAGCAAACAATCAATTCTGTAGCAGACGCCAGTTTTGTGTCCTCTAATTCAATTCTGACATTACTGGAGATAGCATCAGATCCCACAGGTTGAGGGATCAGTCTCACAAAACTGCTCCCACTTTTGATGCCAGTTGCAAGCCCCAGTTTGTTTGACCTGTGCTTCTGACCGATTGGCAATAAATTGGGGATCCCATGATCCTCTTCTTGTGTTCAATTAATTTGCTAGATCAGGTCACAGAATTCAAGGAAGCACTTAATTATGTTTACCAGTTTATCATAAAGGATTTACAAAGGATACAGATAAAGAGATACATGTGGCAAAACATGTGAGAAGGGGTGTAGAGCTTCCATGCCCTTCCTAGTGGGTCACCCTCCGGAAACCTCCACATGTTCACCTCCCTGAGGTCAGGGAGTGGGGCTGAAAGTCACAAACCTCTAAACATGCCTTGGTCTTTCTGGTGACCAGCCTCCTCCTGAAGCTCCGTAGGTGATTATCTCTTTGAAACCTTTCTTTAATATTCTAGGAAGATAAATTGTAAGTTCCCTAGTACTTACACAGCCTTCAGTTACTGCCTCTATTACACCACCAACCAGCTTATAGTCTGGTTAGGTTTATCTGTCTTCCTCACTATGAGACCCTCAGGGATCAGGACACTTCTTATTTATCATTGCATTGCCAGGTCTAGTTCATCACCTATCATATGGGAGGCTCTCAGTAAATATTTGTTGAACAAATGAATGGAAGTTTAGAACATTTAAACAGTTAAGAATTGAATAAACAATGCTTTTACTAGGGGACAGAGAGACCTTATGATGTGGGAGTGGGAAGAAAGAATTTCATGTGTTAGCCTTCAAGGACTAGGTCTGAATCAGCTTGAGTTTCATTTGAGAATTAAATATCAATGAAGAAAACTAACCCTATTTTGGTAAAAATGTACGTTACTTGTTTGAAATTTGCTATGCCTATTTTTCCCATGATAAAATGGAAGTTTTAAGATGTTTCATCTGAAGGAGATGTGCAAATACAGTACGAATGAAGGAATTATGAATATTCATGAGGGATTATTACTATATTAATAGAAAAATGAGTCAGGTCCAAATGTGTTCAATCTAGGCCATAATTGCTCACTTGACATAAAGTGTGAGCTCTAAGGAAAACTGCTATTTCAAGTTTTATGAAAGCACATTATCCTTCAAAATAATTAAAATAACTCAGTAAAACACTTAGAATCAAATTCAAAGTTTTTTCCTCCTTTTTCCAAATGGGGCGGTCAGGAAGAAAGTAGGTCAGAAACAGCTCTTTGGATATGAAGGACAACACATCTCACACCAGCCTCAGAAGTGCCAATTGCAATTAACATCTGGCAAACCACGTGGTTCACACTGTGTTGGCAAGTCATTTTCTACCGCTGAACTTTCATCTTCCAAATTTCTGGCCCTTTTCAGGTTAAATGTTTTCTGATAATACGTTATTTTTACTTTTCAAGGATATTTTGGGTATCTGTCTAATGTCTGACCTTGTTCCCAAGGACTGTGGGATGACTTTGGATACCAAAAGAGGCAGGGGTTACTGGGGCTTTGTGGGAGCCAAGTCATGGATCATGGCATTCGACCCGATGGAATGCAGCACAAATCTGTCTTTTCTATTGTGCATGTATGTTTGAGGGTTTGTACTAGCTACTTAATAGTTCATAAGATTGACATGTTACCTGCCTTCTAAAGTCTATCAACACCAGGGCTTCTTAACCTAGAGTTAATTCAGGGGGCTTAAGGACTTAAATATTTCTTTTCATTATCCTGTAACTGAAATTTAGTATTTATTTCACTTATGAATATTGGCGATGAACCACAATGTTAAGAAGTTGTGTCACCAAGGGGTTAGCATGTGAACTGTGGAGTCAGGCTGCCTGGGGGTCATTTCTACTCCATCAATGACTAGCTCTGTGACCTTGGGCAATTCACAGAATTTCTTGGTGTCTCAGTTTCTACATCTATAAAATGGTGAAAATAATAGTACTACCGAATTTATACAATTTTGTAATGGAATAATTGATTTCACTAAAACACTTAACCACACTCAATATAGAAAACATTAGCTATGTCTTAGCCTTATTATGTCTATGATTCTTTTCCAGTTTATTCACATCTCATGGATTTGATTGTAGCTGAAAGTCTCCAAACCCTTTTCTCTCACAACTTTGACTATTATCCTTTTGTTAGGATTATTTTACTGCTTTAATTTTACTTTTTAAAAGAGAATTTGAAGGATTCATATTTGAGGGATTTTTGGCTTGGTGAAACAAAACTCTTCAAATATAGAAGAGTTTTGCATATTTACTGTCAGGAGAAAAATAATGAAATAGGAATTGAGACCATATACTAGAGGTAATTGTGCATATCCTGATTATAAAAGCATTCAATGAGTATTCTGGTTACTTGTATTTTGAAACTAATGCCTTTTCAAAAAGATATTACTTTCATTCTAATCCAATGAGGGATAAGGAAATAATGTATGCATTTTTATTTACTAAAAAACTTTAGTTTGGAAACTAAAAAGAAATGAAAAATTTCAAGCTGGGAAATACCTTCTTTAACAGAGGAATGAAAAAGTGAACTAACCAGTACCATATATAGGAACACCAATCTATATATGGTAGGCCGGAGTTTTCTCTAGAGTGGTCTGCAGAAGGAATGAACCTGGGGTGGGGGGATGCCCTGTGACCTAGAATGATGCTGTTGTAGACATGTAGATATGCCGACTGATGATCTGACAGGGGCTCTACTGTGTTAGTCTGCTAGGGCTGCTGTAACAAAGTACCAAACTGGGCAGCTTAAACAACAGAAATTTATTGTATCACAGTTCTGGAGGCTGGAAGTCCAAGATCAAGGTATGGGCAGGATTGGTTTCTTCTGAGGGCGGTGAGAGAGAATCCGTTCCATGCTACTCACCTAACTTTCTAGTGGTTTGCTGGCAATATTTGGCCTTCGTGACTTGCAGGTTCATTACCCTGATACCTGCCTTGGTGTTCACATTGTATTCTTCTCCCTGTGTGCATATCTGTGTCAGGATTTTCCCTTTTCATAAGGACACCAGTTGTATTGGATTAGGGCCCACTGTACTCCATTATGACCTCATCTTAACTAATTGCACCTGCAATGACCCTATTTCCAAATAAGGTCACATTCTGAGGTACTGAGGGTTAGGGCTTCAACATATGAATTTTGGAGGGGCAAGAACAGCAATTCAATTCATAATATTTACTAATGGGAAAGGTACCAATTATAGTTTTAAAGGTTGGCTGTGCCCAGATGCAGGTTGCTAATGGATAAACTCTTCTCTTAGATAAAGTATGGACATAAAATGTATTCAGAATTAGCCAGAATCTTTTTAGCCACTTTCTTTAACCAAACTGGATTCTTCCTCTCTTTGGCCTGAAGACATCCCTCTCATCTACTTTCCAAAATCTTCTTATGTTAATGCATATGCTTTTCTTTAAGGCCTTCCTTGGCCTATGCTGCTTCTTTGCTTCTATTTTGGGATAATTTTGGCCTTTGCAACAGGAGACCTAACACTGCCAAAACCACTTAGTGCATGGTGACTAGAAGAAAGCAATAGAAGAAGAGTCAGGGACTAGGCAAGTGATATGTCCAAATGGCAATAATGAAGCAAACTGTGTATACTAAGAATGACTATTTTTCAGGTTTTCAAAGCTGACGTTTACCTGGTTCTTATTTCTTCAGGGCCTCAGGAGTGGTTTTCTAAGGTCTAACTCAAAAACAAACCAAGGGTTTTTTTCTCCCCTAAAACCTAATTCAAATGTTAAAGGATAGCAAACCTGTTGGTTCTAGGTGTAGTGACGATTTTAAAAATACACATGAAATAATACTTGGCAGAGGAAGAAAGTTCATGCTCCCATCTGGTTTAGGCCACATAGCTGTGGCTCCAGTTTTTTGATGATCACAAATACCAGTGTGGGATTAATCCAATGCCAACTCATATCTTGGTTTCTCAGAGGATTTTTTTTTAACTTCTGGATATTTGCTACATTCAAAGAGTAAATGGAAACTGAAACCAGCCTTGGGTCTAGTGCAGCTGTCCCAGAGTTATGTTTCAGTATTTGTGTGGGCTACATTCATAATACACTTTGTAAGAGCTTAATATAAATTCTTGGAACTCAGATAATACCTCTATGTCTATTAAAAGAAGTTAGAACTTTGGGATTTAAGATGAGGTTGCTTGGCAATAATAACACAGAATAAAGCAAGTCAACTTAATGCAAAGCAATTATTTCTTCTACAAGACAGATTGTCATAATTTAAGGAGAAAAGCTTTCATCTTTAAAAAAAAACTGGAAAAACACAAGTTGCCACATGGCAGAATGAATTTTTTAATTTATAAAAGCAAAATTTTATTTCCAATAATTTAGTAAAATAGAAAGCAATAAATAATAATTATGATTCTGTGTTATTTTATTGTTGAAAGAGTTAAAAACCTACCATCCTGTGTTTTTCACTCAATTATAAAGAATTTTTTTGAATGACAGGTTTTTTCACACGTGAAAAAAACAGTCATTCTCTACAGGAAAAGAAAGAAGATTCAGGAGAATTGAGTGACCCAGGGAACATTTGAATGACTCTATATATCAGATGTTGGTAATCTTCAGCTGTAAAGGGAAGATAGTAAATATTTTAGTATTTGCGGGCCATGCCATTTTGGTGGCAACAACTCCACTCTGCTTTTGTAGGGATGAAAGCAGCCATAGGTAATAGGTAAATGAATGGACATGGCTATGGTCCAGTAAAACTTTATGTACAAACACAGGCAGCAGTCTGTGGTTTGCCAACCCTTGCTATATATTATTAGGAAGAGCTTTATGATCAAGTAATAAATAGTGAAAATAATACAGAATTTGGTGCTTTATAACCTTTTAAATAATTTCACATATATTTTTTCATTGGAGCACTCTAGATTTCGACACTTTTTCCATCACTGAGGGAAAAACCTTTAATGAACATTGTAGGAGAGCCTCTACCAAACCATGAGTTCCTTGAAGACATGTTTCAAATCTTATTTTCCAGTGCCTGGCAGTGTTTATTGAATTGAATCAGTGCATTTCCTATAAACTCCATGTACTTATTGTATTTCCTTACCTCTTCCTGTCTCAGTGATGCATTTTACTCTCCCCAGCAGCTGTTCCCTTGACCCTGTACACATTTGGAATCTTCCATACTTATGCTGAGTATCTACATGTATTCCTAAAGATATTTGAGTTGACCTAAAGAATTAGGGTGGAGTCAATGGCTTTTCTCCCTCATATCTAACTGGCCTATGTGGATCAACCTCAATGAGCATCTATCATCAGGCACTTAAAAAGGAAAAGGACTATTTATACAGGCACAGTGGACAAAAAAGGAAAAGACAGAATCCCTTATTCCTCTACTCCCCTAGTTTGGAATCAAGGCAGGACGCTCTTTCCGTCTGGCCACCTCCCTGAGATGGGAGTGACTGGAGAGGATGAGGTGCTAGTGAGTGCTTTTGGACCCAGTTGTGACTTCTGCTGGTCCCCACTCTAAGTCATTTATTCCTAAGCAGGAAGTATCCAGTTATAGTAACAGAAAATGACTAAGACATATATCCACATAAAATAATGAATAATCACATATGTGTCTGTATGTGTATATATATATTCAATCAAGTTTTATAACTGTAGTATTAAATAAAATCTTTAATATCAATTTTTAGCTAGATTTTTCCAAATTTAGAAGAGGTGTTTTTTCAAAACTTTTTCTTTTGTGTTTATAATAGTCTCTGCTCTGTATATTTTGACAAGCATCTCTTAATTCTTCAACCTGGTTTTGGGGTGATATTAAGAGGATGAATCTAAGAGAAAATTCCTAAGGAGATTCAGGAATATCCAAATAAATATTTTACTAGTCATTATTGTCCTCCTCCCCATACCCTGCCAAATATAGTCCTAAAGGTAAATAGATGCACACAAGAGGAAAACCAGGGTCTATTACTTCCTGGGGCTGTGTCTCCAGACTACACTGCAAACTCATGGACATCACGCAATATTCCTTTGCCTGGGCCAGGCTCACCTAAAAAACTAGTCTTGTTTTCTAAGTCCAAACCTAAGTTTAGTCTTGACCCTCCTGAGGAAGGCCACAGCTTTCCACCTGTGCAGGAGGGAACAAGGTGAAAGAGACCAAGAAAACAAGCTTGTCCCAGGGATTAGAGCTGCAACCTCAAATTTTTTAATGCAGTGACAAAGGCCCCTGAGGTGGGCTGTCATGGGGAAGACAAGGAAATTGAAAGGAAGAGTGAAAGGGTTAGGGAAGGGGAGACAGACAAGCAGACAGAGAGAGATAGTGATGGAGAGAGGCAGGTGCAGACAGAGCCACAGACACAGACAACTATGATAGTGGGAGTGGATGTCAGACAGAGCAACGTAGCAGAGAGCAGAGCCAGGGGAGAAAGGAAGCTAGTGACAAAGTGCTCACAGCAGGAAGAGCCAAGGACATTCAGGACAGCAACTGAAAGTTGTTTATTGAGCCGCACAGTGCTATGATCCTCCTCCATTCTTCCCAAACCTACCCACCACAGAGTTTTGTACGTGGTGATTTGGGGGTATGAAGGAAGTAGGGGTGACTTGCAGAGTGGAGCCTGTGGTAGGGCTGTTAGATATACACGGGGTTGGACAAGGGGCAAGTGGAGCTGAAATCAAGCCAAGCATGTTCCATTTGCCAAGCCCTGTGCCCATGGGGCTGCATCTTCTTGTAGTGGGGGTTACATTTAAGACAAGTTTTTTTTTCTTTCTTTTTTTGAGACAGAGTTTCACTTTTGTTGCTCAGGCTGGAGTGCAGTGGCGCGATCTTGGCTCACTGCAGCCTTCACCTCTCAGGTTCAAGCGATTCTCCTGCCTCAGCCACCTAAGTAGCTGGGATTACAGGTATGCATCACCATGCCCGGCTAATTTTGTATTTTTAGTAGAGATGGGGTTTCACTATGTTGGCCAGGCTGGTCTTGAACTCCTGACCTCAGGTGATCCACTTGCCTCGGCCTCCCAAAGTGCTGGAATTACAGGCGTGAGCCACCGTGCCTGGCCACGTTTTTCTTAAGGCTCTGTCTTTTTGTTTATCTATGCTTCTTGACATTTCCATTGATGTGAAGCAGCCCAGGCTTGAATTATTGAGCTGCTACCATATGTTGTTGGGCATTGTGCTGGCTGCTGGGGATTCCATCATCTACAAAGCAGGTGTCCTTCCAGTCTTGTTGTTTTCCACTTTCAAAGGTGAATTCCTCCCCATTCTTTAAATTCCAGCTTAAACACCATAACATCCTTGGGGAAGCTGCAGCAGCTGGTGTTGATGCTGGCCTCATGTCCCCTGAGCCTTCCACTCTTCTCCAGCATCATTCTTCTCTAATTGAGGGCATTTTTTGGCATTGTGGATCCTTGCTCAGCTGCACATAGACCAGGGGACGTTTGGCAGTGTCTGGAAATATTTTTTGGTTGTCACACTTCGGAGGAGCGGGCGTGATGCTACTGGCATCTAGTGAGTAGAGGCCAGGGATGTTGCTAACTATCCTACAAGGCACAGGACTGTCCCAAAACAAAGGATCACCTGGCTCCAAATGTCAATAGTGCTGAAGTGGAGAAACCCTGATGTAGGTATACCCCGAAGTGTGTCTGTATGTTGAGGGGGGTGTTAAGGCTCCTGGGAGACAGCCCTCAAGGAATGAGGAACAGAGCCAGTGGATAGATACCCGAAGCTCCTCGGCTTCTGGTGAGAGAATTCTGAGGTGTGTTCCACATAGTTTCTCAAAACGTCCCCCGCAGGACTCAGTTGCCCAGAAAGGCAAATTGCTCCTTTCATTGGCTTTTTTTTTTCTTTTTCTTTATCTTTTTTTTTTTGAGACAAGGTCTCGCTCTGTCACACAGGATGGAGCGTAGTGGTGCAATCTTGGCTCACTAAATCCTCGACCTCTCTGGGCTCAGGTGGTCCTCCCACCTCAGTCTCCCGAGTAGCTGGGACCACAGGTGTGCACCCCCACATCCAGCTAATGTTTTGGTGTTTTGCAGAGACAGGGTTTTGCCATGTTGTCCAGGCTGGTCTTGAACTCCTGGACTCAAGTGATTCTCCTGCCTTGGCCTCCCAAAGTGCTGGGATTGCAGGGTTGAGCCACTGCACCCAGCATCTTTCACCGGCTTTTAAAAACATCTTTCCATCTTACTCTCTCCATTTCCTCACTCCTGCTTTTGGGGGTCACCTCCCAAATCAACTAATTGCACTCAAGTCTTTCTCTCATGGTCTGCATTTAGAGGCACCCGGACTAAGACAGAATCCTTCCTGGATCCCTAGGTATATCAGGTTTCTCCACCTTGAGTGCTCCTCTCTCTCTTTGAAGTGACTACTTATTCACTGTTGGTCTCCAGCATAGGCTGTGAACTCTAAGGACAGTTTCTATGCCTGTCGTGTTCAGTGCTATGTTTTCGTGGCCTAGTGCTGTTTCTGGCACATGGTAAATGATCAAAAAAGTTTGTTGAGTGACTGAATAAATAAAGGAGCAAATTTAGGCTGTTTTCTTCCTTTGAATTCGTAGCTCCTTTAATGTGTGCCTTCCCCTGTGCTTGAATGGCTTAAAGGAGACAACAGGAAAACTTCCAGAAAGAGTGGGAGGGCAGGCCTTGGGTGAATTGATGGCAATATTCTTTGAGCTAAAATGGGGCCATCTTGTCAGATTCTTCAGACTCAGGGGTAGGATCTTGGAATATTAAATATTCTGAGACATTCACAATAGATTTGTTTAACAGAGGCTCAAGGTCTAAAGCATAATAAAGAGGATTATCTCAAGACTCACAGGAAATAGACAAGTTGGAAACAATGGGAGATTTTTGTGAAGGAAAAGGAAAGAAAAATAACATTGTGTAGCATCTCCCATATGCCTTGCCCTGTGCTTTAGTTCTATTAGCTCACTTCAAGTTAGGTATTATAATACCCATTTTGCAGATGAAGATGTTGAAATTTAGAGATGGAAAATGGCAGAGCCCAAATTTGAACCTCAACTGGCCCCTCTCCAAAGCTTATGGTATTTTCTATTATAGTAGAGGGTGGTGGTGGGGAGGTGTCCAGAGACTACATAGATTTGGTGGAAGTGTGGTGGTGGTGGGGGACAGCCACTGGGTGAGGGATTGGACACAGTGCCCTTTCAGGTTCTTTTTTTATTTATTTATAAAAGTTTATTTTATTTATTTATAAAGGTTTCTTTTTCCCCCATAAGTTATTGGAGTACAGGTAGTATTTGGTTACATAAGTAAGTTCTTCAGTGGTGATTTGTGAGATTTTGGTGCACCTGTAACCCGAGCAGTATACACTGCACAATATTTGTCTTCTAGCCTTTGTTCTCCTCCAACTCATCCCCACAAGTTCCCAAAGTCCATTGCATCATTCTTATGCCTTTGTGTCCTCATAGCTTAGCTCACACATATCAGTGAGAACATACGATGTTTGGTTTTCCATTCCTGAGTTACTTCACTTAGAATAATAGACTCCAGTCTCATCCAGGTCACTGCAAGTGCTGTTAATTCATTCCTTTTTATGGATGTGTAGTATTCCATTATATATATATATATATATATATATATATATGTGTGTGTGTGTGTGTGTGTGTGTATATATACACGTATAGATATATATACACGTATAGATATATACACATATAGATATATATACACGTATAGATATATATACACGTATATATATATATATATATATATATACACGTATATATATATCACAGTTTCTTTATTTCTTTATATACTAAATGATTGATGGGCATTTGGGTTGGTTCCACAATTTTGCAGGTGTTAATTGTGCTGCTATAAACATGCGTGTGCAAGTATCTTTTTTGAATAATGACTTCTTTTCCTCTGGGTAGATACCCAGTAGTGGGATTGCTGGATCAAATGGTAGTTCTACTTTTAGTTCTTTAAGGAATCTCCACACTGTTTTCTATAGTGGCTGTACCAGTTTACATTCCCACCAGCAGTGTAGAAGTGTTCCCTGATCACTGCTCCTGCGCCAACGTCTGCTGTTTTTTGATTTTTTGATTATGGCTATTTTTGCAGGAGTAAGGTGGTATCACATTGCACTTTTGATTTGCATTTCCCCGATCATTAGTGATGTTGAGCATTTTTTCATATGTTTGTTGGCCATTTGTATATCTTCTTGTGAGAATTGTCTATTCATGTCCTTAGCCCACTTTTTGATGGGATTGTTTGTTTTTTTCTTACTGATTTGTTTGAGTTCATTGCAGATTCTGGATATTTGTCCTTTGTCAGGTGCATAGATTGTGAAGATTTTCTCCCACTCTGTGGTTTGTCTGTTTACTCTGCTGACTGTTCCTTTTGCCATGCAAAAGCTCTTTAGTTTTATTAGGTCCCAGCCATTTTTTCTTTGTTTTTATTGCATTTGCTTTTGGGATCTTGGTCATGAAATCCTTGCCTAAGCCAATGTCTAGAAGGGTTTTTCCAATGTTATCTTCTAGAATTTTTATAGTTTCAGGTCTCAGGTTTAAGTCCTTAGTTCATGTTGAGTTGATTTTTGTATAAGGTGAGAGATGAGGATACAGTTTCATTCTCCTACATGTGGCTAGCCAATTATCCTAGCACCATTTCTTAAAAAGGGTGTCCTTTCCCCACTTTATGTTTTTGTTTGCTTTGTTGAAGATCAGTTGGCTGTAAGTATCTGGGTTTATTTCTGGGTTCTCTATTCTGTTCCACTGGCCTATGGCCTATTTTTGTACCAGTACCATGCTGTTTTGGTGACTATGGCCTTATAGTATAATTTGAAATCAGGTAGTGTGATGCCTCCAGATTTATTCTTTTTTGTTAGCCTTGCTTTGGCTATGCGGGCTCTTTTTTGGTTCCATGTGAATTTTAGAATTGTTTTTTCAAATTCTGTGAAGAATGATGGTGGTATTTTGATGGTGATTGCATTGAATTTGTAGATTGCTTTTGGCAGTATGGTCATTTTCACAATATTGATTCTACCCATCCATGAGCAAGGGATGTGTTTCCATTTGTTTGTGTTGTCTATGATTTCTTTCAGCAGTGTTTTGTAGTTTCCCTTATAGAGGTCTTTCACCTCCTTGGTTAGGTATATTCCTAAGTATTTTTTGTTTTTGCAGCTATTGTAAAAGGGGTTGAGTTCTTGATTTGATTCTCCACTTGGTTGCTGTTGGTGTCTAGAAGAGCTACTTATTTGTGTACATTAATCTTGTCTCCAGAAATTCTGCTAAATTCTTTTTTATCAGTTCTAGGAGCTTTCTGGAGGAGTCCTTAGGATTTTCAAGGTAAACAATCATATCGTCAGCAAACAGTGACGGTTTGACTTCCTCTTTATCGATTTGGATGCCCTTTCTTTCTTTTTCCTTTTTTTTTTTTTTTTTTTTTTTCTGATTGCTCTGGCTAGGACTTCCAGTACTATGTTGAAGAGGAGTGGTGAGAGTGAGCATCCTTGTCTTGTTCCAGTTCTCAGAGGGAATGCTTTCAACTTTTCCCCATTCAGTATTATGTTGGCTGTGGGTTTGTCATAGATGCCTTTTATTACCTTAAGGTATGTCCCTTGTATGCCGATTTTGCTGAGATTTTTAATCATAAAGGGATGCTGGATTTTGTTAAATGCTTTTCTGGCATCTATTGAAATGATAATGTGATTTTTTAAAAAATTCTGTTTATGTGGTGTATCACATTTATTGACTTGCGTATGTTAAACCATCCCTGCCTCCCTGGTATGAAACCCACTTGATCATGGTGGATTATCTTTTTGATATGTTGTTGGATTTGGTTAGCAAGTATTTTGTTAAGGATTTTAGCATCGATGTTCATCAAGGATATCAGTCTGTAGTCTTCTTTTTTGGTAATATCCTTTCCTGCTTTTGGTATTAGGGCGATGCTGCCTTCATAGAATGAATTCCTCCTTTCTCTATCTTGTGGAACAGTGTCAAAAGGATTGGTACCAATTCTTCTTTGAATGTCTAGTAGAATTCTGCTGTGAATCCATCTGGTCCTGGACTTTTTTTGTTGGTAATGTTTTATTTACCATTTCAATCTCGCTGCTTGTTATTGGTCTGTTCTAATTCTTCCTGATTTAAGCTAGGAGGGTTTTATTTTTCCAGGAATTTATTATTCTCTTCTAGGTTTTTTAGTTTATGTGCCTAAAGGTGTTCATAGTAGCCTTGATTGATCTTTTGTATTTCAGTGGTGTCAGTTGTAGCATCTCCTGTTTCGTTCCTTAGTGAGGTTATTTGGATTTTCTCTGTTTTTTTTCTTGGTTAATCTTGCCAATGGTCTATCAATTTTATTTATCTTTTCAAAGAATCAGCTTTTTGTTTCACTTATATTTTGGTGTTTTTTTTTGTTTCAATTTCATTTAGTTCTGCTCTGATGTTGGTTATTTCCTTTCTTCTGCTGGGTTTGGGTTTGGTTTATTCTTGTTTCTCTACTTCCTTGAGGTGTGACCTTACATTGTCTGTTTGTGCTCTTTCAGTCTTTTTGATGTAGGCATTTAGGGCTATGAACTTTCCTCTTAGCACCACGTTTGCTGTGTCCCAGAATAGGTTGTGTCATTTTTGTCATTCAGTTTGAATAATTTTTTAAATTTCCATCTCGATTTCATTTTTGACCCAGTGCTCTTTCAAGAGCAGGTTATTTAATTTCCATGTATTTCCATGGTTTTGAAGGTTCCTTTTGGAGTTGACTACCAGTTTTATTCGACTGTGGTCTGAGAGAGTGCTTGATATAATTTCAATTTTCTTAAAAATTGAGGCTCATTTTATGACCTATCATATGGTCTGTCTTGGAGAAAGTTCCATGAACTGTGGAATAGAATTTGTATTCTGTGGTTGTTGGTTGAAGTGTTCTGTATATATCTGTTAAGTCCATTTGTTCCAAGGTATACTTTAAATCCATTGTTTCTTTGTTGACTTTCTGTCTGGACGACCTGTCTAGTGCTGTCAATGGAGTATTGAAGTCCCTCACTATTACTGTATTTCTGTCTATCTCATTTCTTAGGTCTATTATAACTATTTTATTTATAATCTATTTATAAATAGATTATATATCTATTTATTAATTTGGGATCTCTAGTGTTAGGTACATATATGTTTAGAATTGTGATATTTTCCTGTTGGACAAGGCCTTTTACCATTATATAATGTCCCTCTTTGTCCCTTTTAACTGCTGTTGCTTTAAAGTTTGTTTTGTCTGATATAAGAATAGCTACCCCTGTTCACTTTTGGTATCCATTTGCATGAAATGCCTTTTTCCATGCCTTTACTTTAAATTTATGTGAGTCCTTACATGCTAGGTGAGTCTCCTGAAGGCAGCAGATAGTTGGTTGGTGAGTTCTTATCCATTCATTATGCGGTTCTGTATCTTTTAAGTGGAGCATTTAGATCATTTACATTAAATGTTAGTATTGAAATGTGAGGTACCATTGCATTCATTGTGCTCTTTGTTGCCTGTGTACTTTGCTTTTTAACTTGTATTTTTGTTTTATAGGTATTTGGGTGTCTAGGTCTCTAGCAAGGCCAGGGAAGTTTTCCTTGATTATTCCCCCAAACATGTTTTCCAGGCTTTTAGAATTCTCTTCTTCCTCAGGAACACCGATTATTCTTAGGTTTGGTTATTTAACATAATCCCAGACTTTTTGGAGGCTTTGTTCATATTTTCTCATTTTTTTTTCTTTTTTTTGGATTGTGTTAATTTGAAGACCTTGCCTTCAAGCTCTGAATTTCTTTTCTTCTGCTTGTTCAATTCTATTGCTGAGACTTTCCAGAGCACTTTGCATTTCTAAAAGTGTGTCCGAAGTTTCATGAATTTTTGATTGTTTTTTCTTTAAGCTATCTATTTCCTTGAATATTTCTCCCTTCACTTCTTGTATCATTTTTTGGATTTCCTTGCATTAGGCTTTGCCTTTCTCGTCCCTCCCTGATTAGCGTAATAACTAACCTCCTGAATTCTTTTTCAGATAAATCAGGAATTTCTTCTTGGTTTGGATCCATTGCTGGTGAACTAGTGTGATTTTTGTGGGTGATGAACGGCCTTGTTTTGTCGTATTACCAGGGTTGGTTTTCTGGTTCCTTCTCATTTGGGTAGGCTCTGTCAGAGGCAAGGTCTAGGGCTGAAGGCTGTTGTTCAGATTCTTTTGTCCCAAGGGGTGTTCCCTTGATGTAGTACTCTCCCCCTTTTCCTATGAATGTGGCTTCCTGTGAGCTGAACTGCAGTGATTGTTGTCTCTCTTTTGGGTCTAGCCATACAGTGAGTCTACCTGGCTCCAAGCTGGTACTGGGCATTGTCTGCACAGAGTCCTGTGATGTGAACTGTCTATGGGTCTCTCAGCCATGGATAACGGTGCCTGTTCTGGTGGAGGTGGCTGGCGTGCAATGGACTCCCTGAGGGCTCTTAGCTTTGGTGGTTTAATGTTCTGTTTTTGTGCTGGTTGGCCTCCTGCCAGGAGGTGGCGCTTTCCAGAGAGCATCAGCTGTGGTATTATGAGGAGGAACTAGTGGAGGGTGGGGCCGTAGAACTCCCAAGATTATATGCTCTTTGTTTTCCACTACCACGGTGGGTAGGGAAGGACCACCAGCTGGGGACAGGGCTAGGTATGCCTGATCTCAAGACTCTCCTTGGGCAGGTCTTGCTGTGGCTTCTGTAGGGGATGGGGATGGGATTCCCAGGTCACTGGAGTTGTGTAGCTAGGAGGATTACGGTTGCCTCTGCTGAGTCATGCAGGTTGTCTGGGAAGTGGGGGAAAGCCGCAGTCACAGGACTCACCCAACTCCTATGCAAACTGAAGGGCCAGTCTCACTCCCACTGTGTCCCCCCCAACAGCCTCCACACCATTTCCAGGCGGAGAGCAATACAGGCTTGAAAACCTGCCCCAGGCTATCTGCCTCCCTGCTGCGAAAGAAAAGGGCTTGGTTATTCCCCAGTCTGTGGAGTCCGCACACAGTATTTGTGCCTTCCCCCGAGTTCTGGCCAGGAGGTGTCTCACCCTGTTCAAATTGTTACAAAGTTCAGCTAGAGATTTGCTTCTCTCTGTGGAGTTTTACCCCCTGCTCCTCTCCCATTGGATTCCTGTGGTGCCAGGCAGGAATGGCCTGCTAGGGGACCCAGCCAGCTCCCAGGGCCTTTCTGCTGCTTCCTCTACCCCTGTATTTCACTCGGCTCTCCAGATTGACTCAGCTCCAGGTAAAGTCGGAAACTTCTCCCGCAAACAGACCTTCAGCTTCTCCAGTGGGGGTGTGTGTTCTGGAGAAGAGGGTCTCCCTTTCCTACTTCCACAGTTGGGGCACTCAAAGTTTCTGGGGGTTGTCCTGGGTCCTGCAGTCACAGTCCACCTCCTTCAGAGGGTCTGTGTGTCCTCTCAGGATTGCTGCCCTTTCAGGTTCTTGATGATATTATTATTCACTGACTGCAGTGACTGCAGGTTCTCCATCTAGCCTCCTTAGGGTGCTCATCAGTTTGAGCTCAGAGGTAGCAGGAATTTTTATATCCTTTAATTTCTTTTCATTGCTTCTCATTAACGAAGGATTTATCTAGTAGCTATAGAGTCCCTGGCATTTCCTGTGTTTATTTAAGAAGCTACTGGTTGGATGATACACAGTTATCTTATGTACCCCTAAGAAAGAAAAACACTGTAAATATCATTGCAAGGCCCATACATTTTAATGAGTGTTAATTCCAGACATGTTAAAGTGTGAAAAATGTGCATCTTAGAATCCATAAACTGTTGCACGCTCAAACTCCCATGACCATGGGCTCAGTTATCCTCAAAACAGGAGCAATATTCCTGTCTTCTCCCTCTCCTTATCATCAATACACACTTAGCGTATACCTGCTATGGATAAGGCTCCGGGTCTGATGGTTTGAAAGGAATGTAAGATATCTGGAACCAGAGCCCCAAATTATAATCACGGTGGAGGTGGATATAAAACATGGCCAGAAATTTTGTGACACATCTCCCAGAGAGACAGCGCTCCATTCCTCTTCCCTTGAATCTGTGCAGGCTTGTGACTGCTTGAACCAATAGAGTATGGCAGAGGTGGTGCTATGTGATTTGCAAGGATAGCATAAAAGGCTATGCAGCTTCTGGTTTTATACTGCATCATTTGCTCTCAGAGCCCTGAACTTCCATGTAAGAAGTCAGCAGTCCTGAGGCCACCATCCTGGAAAAGCCACATGTAGGCACTCTGGTTGATAGTCCCAGCCAAGCCCAGCCTTCCAGCCACCCCTGCCAAGGGGTGCCAGACATGAGTGAAGCAGCCATCTTTGAAGTGGATCCTCCAGCCCCAGCTGATCCAGCTCCCAGAATAAGGGCAATAATTCCATGTATAAGTCAAATAATCCTAGGCTGTGCCTCAGTTAGTAAACCAAAATTTCGGTGGCTTTTTAGAGTAAAATTTTATTTCCCACTCATGTTGGAGTCTCATGTGGTTTGGGTGATCCTTTACCATCTTGTAGCTATGACATCTAGGACCAATGGCTGCTAAGTTGCTGCAGATGGGGAAGAAAGTTCTGGATCGCACAGTATGTTTTTAAGGGCTGGGCCTGGAATGGCTTACAAGCAGTGCTTCTTAAACAATTCAAGGACCAAATTTTAAAACATTTTAAATTCATCACAGACCTATACTTTTGTAAAATGCAACAAAAATTAATTACTAGAAAAGGGAATGGTGCTTGAACGTAGTGGCAATATCAAATAGCTGTAAAAGTACCTAATTGCTTACTTTTAAATTTCTGTATTTAGTTCATTGCAAACTGGTAACAGTTTGCAAATGGGCACTGGTGCATGGACCACACTTTGAGTAGCATTGGCTTTCAGTAATTAGGCTGGCATCTTATTGGTTAGAACTCAATCACATGTCCCCAATCCAACTGAGAGTGAGCCTGGAAAGTATAGTGCCCTGGGTGCCAGGAAGAGGGGCCATGTGCTGGATTCACTGCATTGTCTCTGTGATACGCTTTAAGTTCAGGTTTTATTCATTTTTTTTCCTCTATGAGGACCCAGTTGTTTACAGGTTTATTGTCTCATTTGTGTTCACAGATCTATTTGTTTGTTTGTTTGTTTGTTTGTTTGTTTTTGGAGACAGAGTCTCACTCTGTCACCCAGGCTGGAGTGCAGTGGTGCATGATCTCAGCTAACTGCCTCCCGGGTTCAAGTGATTCTCCTACCTCAGCCTCCTGAGTAGCTGGGATTACCGGTGCCCACCACCACGCCTGATTAATTTTTGTATTTTTAGTAGAGACGGGGTTTCACCATGTTGGCTAGGCTGGTCTTGAATTCCTGACCTCAGGTGATCTGCCTGCCTAGGCCTCCCAAAGTGCTGGAAATACAGGCGTGAGCCACTGTGCCTGGCCAGATCTAGTTATTTTTTAAAGCCTTTGCAGGGTAGGAGGGAAAGGACACTGGGGAAATTGCCCTGCATGGTGTGTGGTGTCATTATGATTCTCTCCAGTCTTACATATCCTGACCTTAGGTAAAATTCCAGTTGGGTAAAAATCTTGTTGAAGGGCACATAGACTGCAGTGATGTTTCTGTGACATTCCAGATCTCTGGTACATGTGCCAGGGTAGCTACTGTTACTGCTTCAGTCCCTGGAGGAGGATCCCCCCTTACCCCTACCATGTGTCACCAAAGAGAATAGAATTACCTCATTTTGAAAAAGAGCCAGATTATAGAGGTCGCAACTAACAAAGCAGGAAAATGTAACTCTAAATATATTTATAGGATGCCTAAACCCTGCAAAAATTGTCCATTTCAACACTCATTAGAAAATGACCAATAAGAAACAGATCTCAACATTGCAATGATATAACTTTGGAAGACTGATAGAAATAAGTTGGGCTTTTTCAAAATGAGATGTCATTGTAGTTAAGAACAACTTTGCTGAGGCCCATATGCCGTAATGGACAGCTGTGCTGGGGCAGATAATGATTGTAACCTGCCCAGATCTTCTTCCCCTGTTTGTGATCTGTTCCTGGCTTCAGTGTGCATTTGCTTCTAATACCTTAGCTCTCTTTTGGAGGTTTGGCCTAGGGCTTCTGGAGCTATCTTTCCAACTGGTAAGGAGAGCCAGAAGCTCTGGGAATTTATTCCCCTGGGCAGCACTCAACCAATGACTAATGGGTACAGGAGTATGGTAGCTTCCACTCCTTTGCTTGGGTTGGGACAACTTTATGGCATAATTTATACTCCAGAGCTGTGGGATCAGACAGAAGATATCCTCTGTGGGACTTGAGATCGCACCCTTGTTTCCTGGTTTTTCCTGGAAATACTCTTAAAATAAATCACTTAACACATAAATCCTCATTTCAAGATCTGCTTCTGGGGAATCCAACTGAAGACGTGTTCTTTAGAACCAGTGCCTCAGCAAAGCAGTCACCATGCTGATAGAATAGCTATCTCCAAGGTAGCAAGGCTTCCACCCTCAGCTGGACTGTCAACCACTGCTGGGCAATCCTTTTGGTGTCTCTCTATTCCCTATACTTGGTTTCCTCTTCAAGACCCTTAGAAAGTTGAGGCAGGCCATCAGGAGACCTCCATTCTCCCTGTTCCTCCTCCGTCAGCCCCACAGACCCTCTTACAAACATTTTGGTATCAGCCTTCTACTTCAGCTCCTTCTCAGAGGAAATAAGCTATCTTCCTGCCTCTGGAGGCTGGATTTCATTCCCTCCTCTGGGCCTCGCTCTTCAATGACTTCCTCTTGGCCTTTATCATCCTCTTCACCTTGGCTTATAAACATAGGTAAATATTGCTCAGATTTAAATAAAATACAGCCAAAAAACTTTCTCTCCATTTTGTATATCTTCAAACCCAGCTATTGTCCTTTTTAATTCCCAGTCAGGGGTCTGAGGAGAGATGAATCCACTTGCTGCCTCAACCCTTCATTCACACCACAACCTGCAGTGACCTGCTTTTTGAGCAGCCCCACAATCTATTGAAACTCTTCTCTCAGAGATCAACAATGACTTTTTTATGTCTTCATGCTCCACCTTGAGAGCTCACTATGTGCCAGGCCCAATGTCAAGAACTTAAGTTGTGTTTCGGATTGTCATTGGTACGTCCACTCCTCCCCTAATGTACCTAATTCCTTTAAATCTCATTATCCAAGCCTGAAATTTAAGACACCCACCATTCTTCTTTTCCGTCCTACCATATCCCATTCATTAGCAAGGATATTTTGACTCTATTACTAAAATACATTTTGATGAACTCTGTTCATCTCTTTATCTCCACTACCAACACCTTTCTTTCTTTCTTTTTCTTTTTGCTGAAATACATAAACTGATCCTAAAATTCATATGGAAATGCAAGAGACCTAGAATAGCCAAACAAGCTTGAACAAGAAAAAAATTTTTGGAGGACTCACACTTCCTGATTTCACAACTTATGACAAAGCTACAGTCATCAAAATGGTATGGTACTGGCATAAAGATAAATATCTGGATTGACAGAATAGGCTTGAGAGTTTAAAAATAAATATTTACATTTATGGTCAATTGATTTTCCAAAGAGTGCTAATATAATTCAATGACAAAAGAATAGTATTTTCAACAAGTGGTGCTGGGACAACTGGATATCCACATTTAGAAGAACAAAGCTGTGCCTTTACCTTAGACCACATAGAGAAATTAACTAAAAATAGATCAAAAATCTAAATGTAGGAGCTAGAATTATAAAACTCTTAGAAAACACATTGGTGCAATTCTTTGTGACCTTGGATTAGGCAATGGTTTCTTAGCTGTGACACCAAAAGAACAAGCAACCCAAGAAAAAATAAATTTTATTTAGTTATTATTTAAACTTTAAAAAGCTTTTGCACTTCAAAGGTCACCATCAAGAAAGTGAAAGACAACCCAGGTGATACGGTTTGGCTGTGTTCTCACCCAAATCTCATCTTGAATTGTAGCTTCCATAATTCCCATGTGTCATGGGAGGGACCTGGTGGGAGGCAGGTCTTTCCTGTGCTATTCTCATGATAGTGAATAAGTCTCACGAGATGTGATGGTTTTATAAAGGGAAGTTCTCCTGCACGCACTCTCCTGCCTGCCGCCACGTAAGTGACTTTGCTCCTCATTTGCCTTCTGCCATGATCGTGAGGCCTCCCCAGCCACATGGAACTGTGAGTCAATTAAACCTCTTTCCTTTATAAATTACCCAGTCTAGAGTGTGTCTTTATTAGCAGCGTGAGAACAGACTAATACACCAGGAAACTGGAGAAAATATTTGCAAATCATATATCTGATAAGGACTTGTATCCAGACTAAATGAAGAATGCTTACAACTCAATAATCAAAATGACAAATAGCCAAATATTTCAGAAAATGACCTGAATAGACACTTCTCCAAAGAAGATATCCCATCAGACAATAAGCACATGAAAATATGCTTGATATCATTAGTTATCAGATAAATATATCTGAAAACCACAATTAGATAGCACTTTATGCCTACTGGGTGGCTATAACAAAAAAGACGGACAATAGCAAGTGTTGATAAGGATATAGAGAAGTATAGAACCCTCATACACTGCTGGTAGGAATGTAAAATGATGCAGCTGCTTTAGAAAAGGTTCTGGTAGTTCCTAAAAAGATTAAACAGTTACCATATTACCCAGCAATTCTACTCCCAGGCATTTACCTAAAAGAACTGAAAACATGTTCACAGAAAAACTTGTACATGAATGTTCATAGCAGCACTATTCATATTTGCCAAAAAGTAGATACAACCCAAATATCTCTCAACTGATGAATGGATAAACAGAATGTAGCATACCACACAATAAACTATTATTCAGCCATGAAAGGGAATGTAATCCTGATACATACTACCACATGGATGAACCTTGAAAATATTATGCTAAATGAAAGAAGCCAAACACAAAAGGCCACATATTGTATGATTCCATTTATATGAAATGTCCAGAACAGGCAAATCCATAAAGAGAATGCAGATGAGTTGTTGCCAGGGGAAGGAGGAAATGGGGAGTACTAATGGGTATGGGGATTCTTTCAGGGATGATGAAAATATTCTAGAATTAGATAGTGGTGATCAATGCACAACTTTGTGAATGTACTAAAAACCACTGAACTGCATACTTTATGCTTTCTAAGGGTGATTTTTTTAGTATGCACATTTTATTTTTTTAAAAAGCATTGAGTCTTAAGATGGAGAAGGTACCTCCTCACATGCCAAAGAATAAGTAAGAAGCTAGGTCCCAGAGACCATAACAAATCCTTCTATGCAGTGATAATGAGAGAGGTGGCTTCTGAGGCACTGGGCACTAAGGGGATGTGGAACAGCAGAGCAGTACTGTGGATGATCTATGAGATACATCTCTCTGTGGGGACCCCTAGCGAGATATAAGGAAGGAGAGTGGAAGTCCTGCCATTTGGCTCATGAAGGGATAGTGAATCACCCACTTGGAGACACACCTTTAAAGTGACTCGTACAGGTGCCACAAAATTATGGTGCCTAGGAGACAGTTGAGTCATATTATTTAGCTCCAATCATAGTTAATGCCAGAACACATAAAAATAAATCATCTGGTTGTAGAACTATTGGGCAACGTGCCTTCAGTGACAATGACAAACCATTTATAATCTATAATACCACATGTACATCATGCCTAATACAAAGGGCCCACTGCAGTTATAATTGATTCAAGGTGGTAATATTGCATAGAGAAATGGGGATTTAGGCATGGGTGAGAGAAAAACAGGAAGCAACAATATTGGTAAAAAAAGAAGGATAAAATTATCCTTGGTTGGTATCATTCTAATGATCATATTTTAATCACCTGTATTTTCTCTGATAGTAAATTTACTGAAATCCATATCCTCTCTAACTTTCTTGTTCCTAAAAGCTACTGGCCTTGGGAGGGTGGGTAGTGCCATTACCTGATGCTATAATATAGAGAACTGCAACAAATTCCTCAGTCAGAAAGCATCTATCTCATTAGTTGGGTCTTACCAATATTGCGATGTGTTTCATTTTTATTGTTATCAACTGATTATGCCCTATGAAATTTTGGCTTTACTCTGATAGATGTTATGGGAAATTTTGAATTACTTTCTGCCAAAGCTGGAGATCTGGATTGGCCAAGCGAAGCTGTGGGCCAGGTGGGGGTGAGGTGGACAGGGTGGGCCACACTTACACATCAGTCTTTTTTGTTTTTTTGACAACTAAAATCCTTGATTACATTTTTGTGATGAAATACTTCAAACATACAGAAAATTACACACAAAACAACAAAATGGCACCCATATACTCACAACCCAGTCCTTTCAAAGTCTAATATTTTGCCTTAGTTGAAATTATTTTAAGGATATTAGATATAATGGAAACTATTAAAGTTATTTATGAAATCCCCTTGCTCCCTCTTCTTTCCCAGAGATGATCACTTTTAAAATATTGTGCTTACTTGCTTGCAAGTTTTTACATTGTTAACTCTTTTCAAATTCAGTGTGTGTGTGTATGTGTGTGTTTTAAATTCAGTTTGATTTTGAAATATATAAATGTATCTTTTTTGATACATGTTGCTCTGGCTCATTCTTTTGATTATTTGGATTCAATCAAATGAATAAGTCATTATTCTCTGTTGATAGGCATTTAGATTGTTTTCAGATTTTTCACTATTATAAGCAATACTGCAATGAACATTCTGCTATCTGTCTTCTTATACACACTTGCCAAAAATTACAAATATTGGCCAAATCATGAAACTGGCCAAAAGATATGCACAGTTTTAGCTTCATAAAATATTGAGAAATTATCCTCCAAAGTAGTTGTGTGAGTTTATGCTTCCATTATTAATGCATAAGAGTATCAATTTCTTTAAAGATAATGACAACAATTTTTTTTCCTACCTTGCACATCAGTCTTTTTAAAGGTGCCAGCATCTGCTGGGGAAGGAGGGATGTCATCATGCAGCATGCATCCCAGGGGACAAACCTTGTCACCTGCTGTCCTGGATTAAAAACAGACATTGATTTGATCACAGTCATGCTGTTAAAAATTAAAATTGAATATAGAAGTAAATATTATGGGAAAAGTGTTTTCATTAGATCATAGCTAGTTTCTTTTTCATAATTTTTTCTTCCTAGCTAACCATTCTTCATCTGTTATTTTTTCTTCTCTTTGTCAGCCTATAATGTTTTTTGGAGGTTACATGTTTATACGTAATGGTACAAAGAGTTATCTATTAATTCACTTACAAAATTCTGTAACATGGTTTATTTTACTCTTTGCCCAAACTGTAGGCAGGCCTAAGATCGAGTAGAACCAAGCAAAGACGAACCCAAAAGAAGCATGTAATTTAGGGCACATGCCAAGAGGGCATTCACAGATGGGACAATGGTATGAGCAGCCTGGCTCCTCCTGTTGGTTTGTGCATGGAAGAATAGGGGAAACACATGGAATTTGGAGCCTGCAGACCTAGATTAGAGTTTTGACTCAGCCACTTCCTAGGCATATGACTTGACCTTTTCCAGTGTGTTTTGTCATTTATAAAGTGGAGATAAACAAACAATACCTGCTTCATAAGGTGGTGAGAATTAAATGAGATTATGTGTTTGGAAGCACATTTTCCATTAAAGCTCTGTATGTGTGTGCACGTTTTGTCTGTGTCACTGCTGTTTCCTTTCTTCTTCATTGCTAAGAGCATCCCAATTTTATATGGGACATTTGATCTTAGCTAATCATTTCTATTCCATTCACCTGCTGCCATTTATTTCTTTTCTCAGCCTCCTTTGCAGCCACGAGACCCAGTTCCAGCCAAAGAGATGTGAGGGGAAGTCAGCTTGGGGCTTCTGGGAAAGAGTTTCCTCCTTGAGAAGAAAAGCCCCTTTTCCCACCATCACTGCTATTCCTTCTTGTTTGGATGCTCGTAAAATGTCCTAATACTTGGAGCTGTGGCAGCCATCTTGGGAACATAAGTTAAGAAGCATGAGGATGAAAAGCTGACTTGTTGAGAGTGGCAGAGTAGATCCTCCTTCCCAAAGAGGATCTGGGAAGAGCCTGAGAGTTTTTGACTTCGTAGAATTTCCGAACCAGCCCATAACTACCTTCCTTTAAGTTCCTAGGTTTGTGAGATGATCAAATGACTGTTGATTGAGCCACTGCTAGTTAGGTTTTCTGTTAACTTGCAAGCAGATGCATCCTGTTACCATATTTGTATGTGCTTATGTGGGGCATACAGATGAGTGTGGTTCCTTGAGGGCACTGTGGTATAACAGGAAAGAGCACTAACTTTGAGAGTCAAAAGCTGGGGATAACTGGCTCTGAAATGATAGTCTGAGCCTTGGCTTACTGATCGATAAAACTGGAAGAATGCCACTGAACCCACAGGGCTGTTGGGAGGACTAAATAAAATAATACAAATGAAAGCACATTGCAACTGAGCAAGGGTTGCATAGATGTAAGATGTTGTTAGATATCCTGCTCTTTGACCATAGTGGAGGAGGGATGAAGGCATGCAGGTAGGAATGACTTAAGTGAATTTCGATTTTGTCAACACCCCCGCCACCATACCCCTCTTTGTGATCTCCACTGAAATATGCCCAAAGGACTCAAGCTACCCCCTCAATGCCCAGTACCCTCTAGCTCTCCATTTTCCATACTTTAAGGCTATGTTTTTCCAACTTCTCCTCCTATCTCAATCCTCTCAAAAAGAAATGGACTCATCTTGTGCCCCATCCCTTCAGGCCCAGTTAATTGTCACTCACCAACCTGGTATGTGTAGGTGTGTGTCAGAGACTTCTTCTGTTACCCTTGCCAAACAACATGTGTTTTTTTGTTTGTTTGTTTTTGAGGCAGAGTCTCGCTCTGTTGCCCAGGCTGGAGTGCAGTGGCATGATCTCGGCTCACTGCAACCTCCGCCTGCCAGGTTCAAGCGATTCTCCTGCCTCAGCCTCCCAAGTAGCTGGGATTACAGATGCGCATCCCCATGCCCAGCTAATTTTTGTATTTTTTTAGTAGAGATGGGGTTTCACCATGTTGGCCAGGCCAGTCTTGAACTCCTGACCTCAAGTGATCTGCCCGCCTGGGCCTCCCAAAGTGCTGGGATTACAGACGTGAGCCACCGCACCAGCCAACATGTGTTTTTGTGGAGTCTTAAACCAATAACGTGACAATAGGAGTACACATTTCAGGCTATTGCAAGAAGTCAAGGAAAAGCACTTGGCTTCTTGGTGCCTCTTGGAGACCCAACTGGGAGAGCTGCTCAGCTCAGAACTATTCCCCTTTCTGGGAAGGACGTAATGCACAGGTATGTACCCCAATGGCCTCCTCTGTGCTCGGTAACCTTGTCGCTAACCAGGAGTGCGGTATTGACTCAGGCTGGGGCAACCAGAGTCCTGAGGTCTTTAAAATTGCAGTTGCAGAAATAGATTCATCACTCTCTAGTGAGGTCTGAGTTCTTGGTTCTGGTTATTGATGAGGTTCACCTGCAGCCCTGCCCTTCCTCTTGCAATGTGAAACCTTCCTAATAAATTCCTTTTTCTTAGTTCGGGTTGCCTCAACTCCAAATGCTGAGACAAGGACTTGGTTGCAGGTGATCTACTTGGGGCATGATCCCAGAGAATGCAAGGGAGTGGGGGAAGTGAGGGAAAAGAGAAAGCCAATAAGGGTATATTAATGAGCAAATCCCCATGGTGGGCAACTGGGGCTCAGTCCTGCTGGGGACCTCTGGGAAACTGTAGATCACACCTCAGAATATTCCGACCACAGGATGAGGAAGTGGGGACATCTATCACTCAACTTCCATTCCCATTGGTTGAGGCTTATCCCTAGGGGTGTTGTTTCCCGGCACTTATGAGTTATGTCTCCTGCTTTTGGATGATGTGCAGAGTCCCAGTGTAGAGAAAAAGAGAGAGGTGTGAAGCTGACAGTATACTGGAAGCTGCCTACAACTACAGAACTCAGGTGGACAGAAGTGATACTGAGAAAGGCATTGACTGTCTGCCACACCCCTCTTGGCTTAAACTGGTTCCCTTTGGGTTACTGTGACTTATGACCAACAGAGCCCTGGTTATGCAGCTCACTTTAGTTTTTCCCACAGAGGCAGCCACACTCATATTGGGCCAGCCCTGTGTACAAGGCATTTCTGCCAGGAGCAGTTTCCTCAACATATACACCATCAGTGGCTACTGAGGGGCCACCGGGGCAAAAGGACTGTGGCAGAAAGTGTGGTCTAACTTCAGGACAAGGGGCCAAAAATGGCTCATTGTTGGTCCATGGAGTGATGCCATCATTTGTCTGGTGAAGAGCTCTGAACACACAGAAGTAGCCAAAAACCTGGAGAAATATTAAGGTGCTCACTATATTCTCTTCTCCAGTGTATAAATAACTCACTTTTGGCACCATGTGATCTCAAAGGATGATGTCTAAACTGAATTTTAAAGATACAATTCTTTTGAACAACACCTAAACAGAAGTTAATGGTGAACCCCAATCTAAAATGAACCACAATTATCTGTTGACCTCCTAAACTCCCAGAAAGTTGGTTTTCCTTCTACAGTTCTGAAAAAAGCCCAACTACTTCCATCTGGAATGCATTCAGCTACAGGGAACAGAAGCCTGATGTCTAGGGCTCCTACAAATTGGAGCTGCTTCTTTTCCTCATGTAACAAGAAGACTGGTAAGCGATGGTTGCTGGTAATATAGTTCAGTGGCTTGACCATGCTGTCAAGAACTCAGACATGGAGCTCACTTCCACAGTGGATGGATTTTAAGTCTCTCCACTCTGTTTAATACTTCTACTGAAGTACAGCTCTGGGTAAAGGTAATTTCAGAGAGTGGAGAGGTTAAAAAAATTAAAAGTGGTGTTAAAAATAGTGAGCATGTATCTTAGGATTTGGAAGTTTTCTGTTTAAAAAATGTTTTGCCTTGTACCTGCTCCTGACCCTTGCCATATTTAAAATAGACATTTCTTCTTTGTTCTGTTGTCTCACGTACTCTAAGGTCAAAATCTTTGTCACCAGTAGAGGCAGTAGAGCAGAGTGGGCAGGGCTGTAGGCCCTGGAACCTCACCAGCCTGTCAATCTTGGACCATTTTTGACCTACAAAAAGGGCAATGTCATATAGTTCAACTTACTAGGATAATTATCATCATTTGGTGACTATTTGTTGAGTACTTATTATTAAGTAACTTTAACAGCTCCCAAGTGACCAAGCTAGGATTCAAACCCTGTTTAATGTCAGTACCCCTGCTGAGAGGCATGGTACCATGCTGACACCCCCCAATTTTTATTGAATACTCATCTTCTGGCATCCAGGTAATAAAGCTAAAGATAGACTTTCCTTACTTTTCGAACTTTGCTATACCCACTCAGAATATATGAGAAAATGCAGCCAGCATCTTCTGGAAGATTAGGAGGGCAAGTAAGATACCATAGCCACCTCCCGGCTGACATTTGAGCCTGCTTTCCGCACGGTCAAGCCTTTCGGAGGCAGCCAGCGTATGGCTTGTATCAAACTCTATATTTAGGAAGAACAACTGTGAGCTATGACAGGAATTCTCTTTAACACTTAGCCTTAACGGTTTAAGTTCCCCTCCAGCCCCGAGCCAGGAGCAGTTCTCAATACCGGGAGAGGCACAGAGCTATTTCAGCCACATGAAAAGCATCGGAATTGAGATCGCAGCTCAGAGGACACCGGGCGCCCCTTCCACCTTCCAAGGAGCTTTGTATTCTTGCATCTGGCTGCCTGGGACTTCCCTTAGGCAGTAAACAAATACATAAAGCAGGTAAGCAGAAGGACGCAGCTCCGGCGACTGGGTTTTCTAAAGGAAATTTCCTTGATACCTAACTCGAAGTGACTACTTTTAACTTTGTAGGCTTGTAACCAGTGGGTGTAGCTTCCTTGTAAATTCATTTTTCATTGGTGGTATTGCTGATTCTGTTTATAAATTGTGAGGGGTGAGGGTGCTGAAAGAATATTGAACTAGGCAAATACTGAAAGGCAGTTTTCATCGATAGTGGCAACAATAAAATGTCCACAGTCTAGAAATGATAACTGTGACCTTGAAGCTGTGCTGGCCAGGATTACAGTCGGTCAGCTGCAGATTGATTGAAGCCCTAAGCCAAGAAATCATCAGAATTTGGGCCAGAGAGAAGCTATAATGCTAGTTCCTTTATTTACCAAAATGCAAATTATTGCCAGAGTTTTTATACAGTACAAGTTTAAAATGATTTTCTCCTCTCCCTAAGCACCAGGCTTGGTCTCAATGATAACGTTCTATCAATGATAGAACCATCTTTTTAAATCTTCACTTTGGTCACAGTATTCCCATACTCAGCAGGGTAGAGGGCAGCACTCACTGTCCCTTTCTATGTGGGCACCAGGTTCTGAAGTATGAGAACGCTAAGAGTACCTCTTTCCTCTCAGCATATTTAAAGCAGAGTGAATAAGGAGTTAGTCAGTTCAGACAGCTGAACATCTTTCTACACCCTTCTCAGGAATTATTTTTAGCTGCAGGACAGAAGATAATTCCCTTTGCGATGGAGCTTTACCCACTTATTCGACCTTTAAAAAGAACAAACAAAGCTCTTATCTCTGAATAGTGATTGATTTTCCTCTGAATCCCTTCTTATTAAATGAGTGATATTACTATTGACAAATTTTTAGTAAGTCAAAGAGTTCTATTTAGAAGTCAGATATTAGGTGCTGCCCAATCAAAGACAAGCAGGGATATATCATAGGTGACTCAGCATACAGACCATTAATGGTCCCCACTGACTTACAGAACTGCCAGGAAAACTCAGCGGTGCTTAGCTGGCAAGCATTTTCATTATACTATAGGCTTTGTAAAAGTCAATATATGCCTTGTCAAACTTTCCATGTTTCAAAACTGTAGCCAGAACCAGGAGACGTAGTAATTGAGTGCTGTAAAGAGTACCTCTTTGGACGAAAAGCAGTGGCCCTGGTGGGAGTGGAGTGTGTATCTAAGGTGTAGTTTTCTTTTCTTGGTCCCGGGATGAAGCATTCAGATGAAGAAGGAAGGTGTGTTCCGCACTCTACATCCCTGATAGAGGTGACTGCAGGGGCAGGGAAACAGGGAACACTGTCTATTTTTATTCATCAGTATGCTTTGCCCTGATTTCTCTGAAAATAATGAGGACAGCAGGAACCGCTGCTGAACTGATTTACACAAATGTTATCCAGCCTGTTTGTGAGGAATGAGAGTTGGGATCTGACCAGCTTTCTATAGATCTCTCTTTCAAAGATTGACATGCATGTTAAGAGATTTGTATGCAAATCAGAATCTACCAAAAATACAGGAGACGAGGCCCATCCATTCTTGAGGCTCAGAGGTTCACACAAAAACAGCAATCCAGTAGTAAGTTAAATCAGTCCATTGAAAATATAAAATTGGTTTTTAAAAAAATACAGTATAACAATCATTCATTGACTAATTTTAAAAAACATTTCAACTTGCTATTGTCATAACATAAAGAAATTTTCTAATCCCTGTTTCAAATTGATGTACAATAATTTTTTTAACAAGTTCCCAAGTGATATTAAACTTTAGTTGTACACACACAGAGAATACCATATGCTGAGATATTTAAAGTTCTGTGAAAATTATTGCTTTGTATGACTTCTAACAGCTTTTGAAGAATAAAAACGTTAAAAATTAAGCCACGAAGCTTTTCTTTTTGGAATTAAGCTGTATGTCCTAGATCCACAAATTAAAAATCCTTCATTTCTTTATGACACTGCAGGAAAGACAGCAATCTATTTGAAACATATCACAGAGAAAAATGTATCCTTGACTGTTCCATTTGTTATTGCTTTTTAATTTTGTAACCGTATTAAAAATAATTCTACCTAGACCCTTATGCATGGAGGCTAAATCTATATGTTACAAAGACATTCAAGTGAAACTCTTTAAAAAGAGTCCTATTGTTTTCATGTATGTGGCTCCAAAAACTATATATTTGGATACCCTGAGTATAGAGGTTTTTAAAAAATATGGAATTGTTTAACTTCACATAATAGAGCCTAAGACTTTAGAGATTTCAAAAGACTTATTTTTCACAGAGTTCTTTTCAGATCTTTTATCTCTACAGGTGTTGGGGAACATACCTATATAAATTATTACTCTGAACTTAAAGCTGGAGATGAGTACAGCACTCCAAGGTCATTAGCTATGGACGATGGTAGTAAACAATGAATATTTGCATCATGCTTTACAGTTCACAAGGCCTTTTCAGGAGCATGTATGTAATATGGATTCTTACCACAACCTGTGAAGCAGGTAAAATTTAAAGAAGAGGAAATGGGCTTAGAAATATTGAGTGACATTGCCCAGGTTACACAAGATGTGTGGCAAATGCCAACACTGCTTTTTGCATTCTTTTACTCACCAGTGGACACACCACTTACACCAGTCAATAGACCTCAATCAACCTGTTGTACAGTTTGGGTTTAAAACACAGCATGTTTTGAATTCAATGAATTTTTAATTTTTCAATTGGTCCTGCTGACATTTAATAGGCCTAGCTACAAAAACAGGCCAGAGCTAGACCATTCTCTTCTCCCCTATCCCCAGTAAATTGCATCCCGCATCCCCTAATGTGCTCTAGTCACTGTGTTCTAAGTCAGGTCTCACATGCTTAAAGAAAGCAAAAGTCTTTTGGGAAGGAAGCACTTCTACATCTCGAGGATTTGTTATGGTCATGTGTAAATCTTCCTTGCCTCCTTGAAAGAAAAGTATACAGGCGAGACTTGCTGTCTGCCCGTGTTTACAGAGCCTGGGCTCTGTATGAGGCAACTTATCAAAAGCATTGGGTAGGGGCACACAGAGCAGGAGATGGGACCTACGTCCTCAGAGCATCTCCCAGGTTGCTGGGCAGAACAGACACTGCACAGCAAGTAGAGAGCATCGCAGCCGTTAAGGAAGTGGTACAGGCCATTTCTTTTTGGGTGTTCAACAAAGAGGAGGCACTCCCAATGGACTATAGCAACCCTGGCAATTATGAATTCAGATCAAAAGTTCAGTTTCAAGCCAAGAACTTCAGAGGCCCGGAACAAAGGTGTTTTATTCCCACAACCTCTTTGCTTTGCTGCTCTTGGCAGAAGGTCAGGAGGGCAGGAAAGGAGATGATAGCACCTTTCAAGTTTCTGATTGTATATCATTAGCATCAGGGGCGAGGCGTCTCACCATTTCTCCTCCTGAATGATTTATCCTGGTGCTCTAGTGTTCCCTCACCCGAGGCATTAGGAAGGAGAGTGTCTTCGTAACTTTGGAAACTGAGACTGAAAGAATATATGGCCAGTGAAAGGGGTGACTGCCCAGTTGAATCATGAGTTAAATTCTAATTTATCAAGACTGAGGATCTGAATGCTGCCACCTCTAACAGTTTCTTACTTGTTTTTTTAGGGATAAGACTGCATGAATATGTCGAAACAGCCAGTTTCCAATGTTAGAGCCATCCAGGTAAGTAGCCCTGCAACTTCTTGCCTGGTTGCTTAATAAGTCATATTTCTGGCGATTGTTCACTCCTAGCTGATGGTGAACTTCAAGAAGAAAATTAAGTTCTTCATAAGATTTGTAAGGTACAATTGAGAAAGGATATAAAACCAGTTAGGTACAACTGAGACAGGAGAAGCAAGCTATTTTTGTTTAATTGTTCTGAATTATAAGACAATCAGTTTATAAGTGAGAATTAAATTATCTTCTAAAAAATTTAGTGTGTATGTTTTTTGATATGTTTTGGATGTGTTCATTGATAGAGGATATATTCAATTTTATTTTTAATTTCCAATTGATATGTGCACAAACAGATGAATCACAGTTTGTTGACTCACGTGTTTGAAATACATCTTTCTTTAAATAATATCCTTTTGTAGTTAAGTGTTCTTCCCAGGGCTTGGGTATTCATCTTTGAAAATTCATATGTTATTAGTTGTCCATGTGCCCTCCCAGCAAACAAATTCCTTGGTTGTTTAAACTGACTTAAGTGTCACCCACAAAAAGGGAAGGAGGAAGCAGGCATTTGGAAACAAAAATACAATTATGAAAATAACTTGCAGTATTTGTTTTTACTCAATATTTAATTTGTTATTTCTCTTAAGGGCCCTGTATTTGACTCTCAAATGGCTTCCACCCTGAAACTCTGGGCACAGTGCTTTATTGTAAAATTCCATCTTTCCATCAACATGGAGGCTGTCTGTGCTTTCTCCAAAGGGACTTTTTTCTTGGACTTTTCTGAATACTGCAGGTCATGTGGCAGTTCCTGAATATTTTAGGCCTGATGCACCATCACAACAGAAACACAATCATAAATGGTTGACTGTGTTGTGGAGGGGTGTGCTTGTGGCCAGGTTGCAAACACATCATCAAGGGGTTTAGAAATCCTAGCACACACCGCTGGTGGAGGTAGGTGGAGGGACAGATCTTTACCTGTCACGACTAATACAGATCCTTAAACTGAAGGGGTTCTTAAGTGGCAGGATGTAGAGCAACCTCTGGAAACATGTCATTGAACAAACCACCAAGGAAGGGCCTATGAATTTGGCAAGGATTCCACTCTGCATTGTCACATCCAGCCTTCTGGTGTCTACCTAGTGAGCCTCTGATTTCCCTGACAGTGTTAGCAGAATTATATTTTGTCTTCCAGACCTGTGGACATCCTTGAGCCTTTGAATCTTCTCTTTTACCCAGTGTAGAAGCAGTTAGTAGCATGGGCTCTGAAACTATATTACTAGGGTCCTTAATCCATCCTGTACTGGTGTAGGATCATGGGAAAATTACTCTCCCTACTTGACCTCTCTGTGCCTCCATTTCCACATCTGTAAAATGGAGATAAAATAATAGTATTCACTTCCTAGGGCTACATGTATAAAATGCTTAAAACAGCATAGTAGGCCGGGCGCGGTGGTTCATGCCTGTAATCCCAGCACTTTGGGAGGCTGAGATGGGCAGATCACGAGGTTGGGAGATCGAGACCATCCTGGCTAACACGGTGAAACCCTGTCTCTACTAAAAATATAAAAAATTAGCCAGGCATTGTGGCACACACCTGTAGTCCCAGCTACTCAGGAGGCTGAGGCAGGAGAATCGCTTGAACCTGGGAGGCGGAGGTTGCTGTGAGCCAAGATTGCGTCACTGCACTCCAGCCTGGACAACAGAGTGAGTGAGACTCTGTCTTAAAAAAAACCAAAAAACAAACAAACAAACAAAAAAACAGCATAGCAAGCACGCATTGAGTGTCAACCATTATTAGAATTATTATCATTCAGGAATACTTTATGTTAAAGTTGTGAGAAGTAATATCATTTAATCACTGCATTTGAACCTCCAGAAGTGCTAAACATAAAAATTCTTTTATTTTTGCAGGATGCAAAAACAGTCTTCTCTCGGGTTGTCTTTTTTCCCTCTTCCTTTTAAAACTGAAAGTGTGTTGGTTTTTCTTCCTTAATGGTCCCTGGCCTCCCTCAAATCTACACTGAAAATTCACTAGTATTTTATTTACTAATTTTGACCTTGATATATTTTTAGATTTGTAATATTTTAAAAGCTGCTACTGACTGTTCTCAGTAGCCGTTATTATACCGCATTACAAAAAATCCATCCATTCTGCCGACAAAGGCAATACAGCGGTTCCTTATGGATGTGGTATTGCCTCTTTCGATCTATTTTATGCCACACAAAAGGCCCAATTTAATGCACCTTCAAATGAAATATTATTTCTTGTGGGTAAATAGGATCAGCACTATCCGATATTTTCGTATTATCTTTGCATTAACCTTAAGTAGGGTACATGAAATAAAATATGAACGTGGTTACACCGTACACAATGGTTTATAGTAGGGACATTATCTAGGTTAGTCTTGTCTGGAACAAATAGAAGCCCTGATTAATAAGGGACTCTCCTCATTGTGTAAATACCATTTAAAGCTCTGAAATGTTCTACTCCATACCCTCTAGTCACTTATTTTTATTAGGATTTTATCTCCAATTCAGTTCATTTGTTATTTCCTGAGTGCATAATATGTGCCAGGCACTGTGCTAAGTGTAGGGTATATACAAAGATGAATTGATCCCTGATCCCTGAGATGAATTGATCCCTGATCCCTGTGTTTGAGGCACTCAAGGTCTCCAGTACTTGCTAGCTGCATGACTTTGAGAAAGTTATTTAGCCTCTTTGTGCCTCAGTTTCCTCATCTATCAAGAGAAGAATTAGTAACAGTCTTTATCTCATAGGATTACTATGAAGGTTAAATGAATTTAATGCGTGACAATACTCAGCTCAGTGCCTGGCTCACTGTAATTGCTTAATAAATATTAGCTATTATCATCATTCACCACCATCATCATCTACTTCAACAGCTTCCAAAGTGTGTTCCTTGGAATACTAGTTTTATGGGATGTTGTTAATTAGATTAGAGGCTAATATAGTTTAATGTTTGAAAATTTTTCTCAGAGTCCACAACTTGCTAATGGCATCAAGTTATTTCCAAGAGGGCAGAAACATATGCAATGTTTTCTAAACATATTGGACCTATTCAGTTACTGTCTTACAAGATAGTGTTTTGCAGTGCGAACTTCTAGAAACAGTGACTTAGATTTCTAGTTTGTCTGGCTTGGGTGAATTTAAGTTACTTTTGACCATAGCTCTAACAGTCAGGCATTTCAGGAGTCGAGTTAATGCACCTCCAGACAACATGGAGTCAAATAGTTACAAATCTCTGCAATGTTAGTTCACCTTTAGTCCACCTTTCTGTAAAATGGGGACAATCATACTATTTAATTGGGTTGTTATAATGAATAGACAAAATAATCTATAGTATACAAATTCCTTAAGAGATGGGCCTTCTAAGTATCCAAGTAATGCATGGAATGGCCTTGGCTTTGTCTTCAACTGGTTCCATCTCCTCTGTGCACCAGAGTAAGAGGGAGGCCAGAACTAGAACCACCCTTAAAGGAGGTAGACAGTAGTCTTTCACATCCACACTGAAGAAGAGATGGCTTTTGAATTGTAAAGGGATTCTAATCCTACACTTCTCTTTAGTTGTATTAGTTAAATCTCTGCCAGGGGCATAAAAACATCCTGAAAGAATCAGTTGATTCTTTCTTAGCCCGGGGAGGGCCTTTGTCCCCTAAGCAGCTGATAAAGTTCTATGCCAGAGGTTGGCAAACCTTTTCTATAAAGGACCAGATAATAAATATTTTAGGCTTTGCGTGTCGTTTGGTCTGTTCCCACTACTCAGCTCTGCTGTTGTACCACAAAAGCAGCCATAGGCAGTACATAAATGAATGAATGTGGCTATGTCCCAATGAAACTTTATTTACAAAATCAGGTGGTGGACTGGATTTGGCCCGCGGACTATAGATTGCCAACTCCGGTTCTGGTCTCTCCAGGCTGCTTCTTACAACCCCACTGTTGGTGGGAATTGAGCTGCAATGAAGGTAACATCAGCACTCTCTGCATATTGGATCCTCTCCCTCAAATGAAAGAATTTGACATGACAGGTGGTGGGGAAAGCTAGAACTGCTGGGAATCTAATCCCATCAATGATCTGTTTGGTGACTCTCTCTAATGAGACCAAGTGACACCAGCCACTGGCAGCATCTGCCTGTCCTTCTTTCTCCTGAACACACCCACTTTGGGAACCACCACAGGCCTCCTTAGGGCCCCAATTCACACAGAGCCAATCTTCTCTGGATTGTCACTGATCCTTTCTCTCCACCGTTAATGAAAGTAAGCTGAGTATTATTTGTCCTCTCCCATGAGATCTGAGAACTTCATGGCTGACCAAAAAAGAGTCCTGTGCCCCAGTCTTAGCTCTACGACGTAAATTCACCCCCCTGGTCCTTGTGATCTTCAAAGGGAGGGGCTTCAGTTAAATGACTTCTAAGTCTCTGTCCAGCTTGTAAGTCTGTGAACTTCTTGAGAATATCTTGTAAGGTTTATTATCAGGATGACAATAATAGTTTCAGTTTATTCAAGGTTTACCATATACCTGGCCCAGTGCAGTGGGATTTCCATGGATCCTAATGTTAGGTTTGGAAAAGTGAAGTAACTCCCCCAGGATTATACAATTTGTAAGTAGGATAGTCAAGCCCTAAAATCAATTATTCAGTCTGATCCCCAAGCCCATGTTTGGAAGCACTCTGCAATGCTGTCTTTACTTACTGTTCCCACCATTGGCACAGAGAGTAAGGCTGGAGGAGTGGGTGTGGACCATCTCAAGGATAATCATAAGCACCAAGGCTACTTGAGAGGCAATTACCGTTTTATGGATGCTGCGTGCCTCCCTTTTAAAGAACTCAACCTTTAGAAACAGTGTCAGCATTTCAGTGAAGAAGCTGATAGTCTACACTGATTAAAGTCACCTTAAGAGTAAGTTGGCTTCGAGTTAAAAGTACAAAGTAAAGAGACTCAATGATAAACATGGTCTTGAAATTCAAACAACCATGGCTAGATCAACTTAAGCCGTTTGTAAAACTAAATCTAACTTATCATACATTTGAAAAAAATTATATGAATCCTGCATCATTAGTGAGTATGTGGCTTCTTAGCATGGGAAGTTTTCCATTGCTACCCAATCTATGTGTAGAAGAGAATATTCTGATGCTCCATGTTTCAGTACTTCTTTCCCTTCCCCACTAGTTGTCATTGTTCTTCCACTCTCCATTATCTAGGGCACAATGTGGAAGAAGAAAGCAGTCTCCACGGAAGATGAAAATATTTACAGATAGGCATTAGAGACTCTTAAGTATTTCCTGTGTAGGATTTCCAGTTTAAAAATGATTCCAAATATATGACAATCATTGGTATAGAGGAATAGACTATCACCATCCATTGTTAATCTGATAGATTGATTAAAGCTAAAAATCATAATGATCACACATGCCTTCCTTCAACATTTTATTTAAATTTAAAACATTAAAAATTAACTTTCATTTGCCATTTGTTTTAATGTAGATGCAAGGCCTTTTCGTTGATCATGGATCTACTGTTTCTTACATAAACCACTATAATACATTGTTTATGATTTCCAATGCTGGTTTCTTTTAAGTGTATTAAGAACTGGAATGTAGGAGTCTTACTCTCAAGTGGGTTCAGTATTACCTCCAGCTAATGATCATTGCGGCTCTGCCTAGCTCTATATTTGTGACACGAGGCAAAGCAGACACATACTTGCAAAAAGATGTCATTTTTTTTATGTTGACATCCAAAAGCACTTCAGGAATACAACCTGCCCCCGACTGATTGTGCACATTATCTTAATAGCCGTACAGTACATTCTTGAAATCTGCTTTTCCCTGGATGATGAGATTACAATTGAGTCATTCAGGAAATTATTGAAGGGAACAAAAAAGTGTTGAGAACAGAGCAAAAATAAAAACATTTTCAATATGAAACATCATGGGTGAAGAACAGTGGCAAAGTAGAAGTTTCTCAAAATTGTGTTGTGTGGGAAAGTTTTCCGTGTTTTGAATCCACTCCATATTTCAACAACCCCTAAGCAGTTATGCATTCCAGTGATATAGAATTTTATTTTAAAATAAGTTGACTATATTGTAGTAGGTAGATATGTGTGTGTCTCTCATTTTACGTTAATATATCAAACAAGAATCTCATTTTCTAATCCGTTATGAAAAAACAAACCTCTTTCTGAAGTCTTCTGTAAAGATGCTATAAATCTCAAAATGTCATATCTTGCTCCGTTCAGAGAATGACTAAGACTATGAGAATAGGAAAGAGCAGAAAGAAATAATGCAAAATGCAACCCTGTAGAATTTCCTCTGCCCGTGCTACAGAAGAATGGCATGGGGGAGGCTATAGATTCTGGCAGGAGCTGCTGGGGTCCTTTGAAAAGTAAAGATTGAATCAGTAGGGGGTCATCTGAAACAAATAATGCAATGGGAGGAAACTCCAGAAGCCTCTGAACTTCAGAAAACTCACAGTGGGTTCAGAAAAGGAGAGACAGAGTGCGGACGAAAAGGGAGGGGGAGATAAGAGAACAATGGCTGTGGAAAGCAAAGTTCAATAGGAATTGTCAGTACCCAGCCGGCTGGCAGCTCTCAGAATCCAACCCACTGGGGAAAGAAGATGTCATTCCATTGTAAGCCACACAGAAAGGGGTGTGGAGGAAATATTGTTTCCAGAATCCTCTGGGCTCAAAGCCCGGAGCCAAGCAAAGAGAACAATACAAATAATTAAGGGAGCAGTGGAATTAATTTACAGGGAATTCTTTCTACTTTTCTTCACCTAGTGAGATCAAGTGTAGTATTAATTTCACATCAGATAGGTCTTCTATCAGGGAACTGTATCCTATTCCGGCAAAAGATGATCTAGTAGATTTTTTTTCCATTCCCAACTTGGAGGATGTAACAAATTATATATAGCTTAGGAAAGTGATGCACCAGGTCTGCTGCATCAGGGACATATTTTTAAATCTCTAAAATGAATAAACCTCAGGGAGGGAAAAGAAATACAAAGGATTGCATTACAAAAGGAAAAAAAAGAGACTGCTTCCTTTGCATTTATATAGAATCTATAGAGAGAAGGAAGCCTATCCTAATATCAACTCTAGGTCATTGGTGTTAAACATTTTCTGTTTGTTTATTATTTCATAAAAGTTTAGCTTGTATTTTAAGCCTATTTTGTGTAGCAAATACACTCAATTTGTAGGTAGAAAAATTAGTCGCTGAGAAAGTATTTCATTTGTGTTTAAACACAGAGTAAGTCAGCGAAAGAGACAAAATATGACCCAATTTTCTGGCCAATGGAATAAAAACCAAGAGGTACAGGTCTACATATTTTTATCAAATTCAAATTATAAGGAATTTTTCTTATGGCTATAATTTAGCCTATGACTTGTCACTCAAAGATTACTGTCCTACAATTATGCTAATGAAACATCTCTAATCGTCTTGTTAATAGTATAATGCATGCCACAACTGACAAAGCACGCCTCTTATACTCCCTTATTGGTGCACATTATGATCGAATGTTCGACATATTTTCAGGCTGCTTTGGTTCCTGTCAATATCTGCTGTCAAAAAAAAAAAAAAAAAAACCCATTTAAGTTTTTCTGATTTCTTGAGTGATGCTTTTAAAGAAGAAAAAGTGTCAAGTCAGTGAGTTAATGGCTCATTTTTCAATGTGGCTTTTCTTTGGTATCTATTATGAAATTATCCATTTTATCTGCTCGTTTTCAAAGACCACTCTCAAAGTGTAAGTCTCCAATATCAGAGCTGCTTTAGAGAATTTTAGAGCTGGTTAGAGCTATTTTTGGCCACGTGAAAAGAGCTCTTTAGAGACGGGTTTGAGAGAGTGAGAAGGTCTGTCCCTGAAGTCAGGCAGCTTCAATTTGGAATCTTGCCTTTTCCTGGAACTATATGTATGACCTTGAGAGAATTAACCTCTCTGAGGATTCATTTCTTCATCAGTAAAATGAAGATGATAATACTAACCTCAAAAGTTTGTTGTGAGGATGCAGGTATTTAAACCCTCCACCTCTGCCTGCTTTGCATTGTAGATATTCTTACAGTACTTCATTTGAAGGAAGGAAGAGTTCCCTGGTTAAGAGGTTTGAAAACCATTGACACAGCCTAATATTCATATTACAAATGGGGACAATGAGACCCAGAGCAATTGTTACTTTTTCAAGCACAGAGAACTTGTAGCAACTGCTAGCATTAGGCTCTTTTCACTATTGTTAAGCCACCCGTGAAACATGGAGAGGCCACATGGGGGCGCATCACTAAAATTAATCTCCGAACAGGAAAAGTAGTCATCTTGTAACATGCCCTTCACAATATTATATTATTCTGGATGACCTTTGCATGTCCCCTTACTAAAAACTACAATCTACCATAGAGCATATATACTTGATTAAATGAGTTAATTTAGCAATCAAGTCTTTCAGAAACAATATGATAACTTGAGCTCACCGTTAGGAAGATGCCCCCTGTAGATGCTTAATAAATGGGTTGGGGTAGGGACAATTTAACTAAACTTTTAACTGGTTAACTTTTTCCCAAATAGTCCGTATATTGATTTTTCCCCTCTTTTATCCAAACTGTAGTGATGGAAATAGTCTATTGGTCCAATATGGATTATCTTCTGTGAGTATTATTTACACTGTCTTGATCTTCTTTATTCAGGCCCCTATGATATTTCATCCAATCTAAGACACTGTCAATTGTAAAATACCATTATTTTACATCCTGCCAAAATAAAGCAAATGTGCCAACTAAAATTGTAGGACACTATTGGTTGTAAGACACACTCTGACCAGAGATATTAAAAGAGATGCATCTTGGAATTCATGAAGTATGGCTCCATATTTGCCACCATATAAGACAAATCTTTCTCCTCTCTTATGCCCCCTCCTCCTCCCACTCGATGCCACCTGGTATTTCCATTACACATAAAAATAGCATAGAAAGCTCAGCCTTAGGTTTTTAAAATGCTTTTCTCTAAAGTTGTGCTGGATTTATATTTTAACATATGCGGTACATACTGATTAAAAATACTCCTTGGCTTGTTGGTACTAGGAATGGCTCCACAATGATGTACCTCTCCGGTTACTTCCCACAAATACTTTGGATCTATTTCTTTCTGTGGTATCAGCATTATTCTAGTAAGGATGGGGTGTTTTAAAGCCCCTGGGTAGGAAAAGTCACCTCCTGCTCCTGAAGGGAGTACAACACAGACCTGCCATGTTGCATGAACATGGACACTGGATGCTTCCTGTTTCATAGGGTTAAGCATTCCCCTGGCAACAGAGCTTGTACAAGGCAGTTCCAAATGGGACTTACCACACTTCCTAATAACTTCCTTTGGTGTGGTGCCAAAATCATACAATCCATGTCATAAGATAAAAAAATATTTTGCTCCCTTTGTTCAGGCATCATTTACATGCATAACATCAAAACGAAATTTCAACTTTTCAAGCCCACATATCCAATTACTCATAAGGCAACACTTTATCTTCAATGGAAAAATATTGTATTCTACTTTAAAATAGTATTTGATGGTTGTTTTATGTGAGTGATAATACTGGTTGAGGACATTTTTGATCTGCATTACATATATTCACCTTTTGACATCAAATAAGTATGGGCAAAATTCAAATTTATATATTATCTCTCCAAGTTCAAATTACAGTGTCAATATATCCTTACCTAATTTAATGTTTAGAGGATGTCATGAAGGTATTTTATGTTTACCACTGATGGAGATTAGTATTTTATCATCATAAGGGAGAAGAGTCAATGGTGGTGATACGAAGGGAACTTGGCTTTCCAAGCACCCTCTTTACTCCTTACTGACCCACACAAGTACATGTTGGGAAGAAGGTAGAAGAGTGTCAATTTCAGAGACTATGGCAATAAAGTGCAGGACATTATGGAAAGGAGGAAGTAGCTTAGGGCGTGTAAATGTCTCCCCTCCCATGTGGTAAATTTGAAGGGACCGGAAGGAGGGCTAAGGTGTGGGATGACTTATGCAGATGCTCTTTCCTCCTTGCCTGTCATTATGTGTTCCCTCCTTATCCCAGAGAGAGAAAAATAATATGCACCTCAGGAGGGCAACAGCCAGAACAAACTGTCTTCAAATTCTGCCATCCAACAGGAAATTGTAAAATCACTGCACAGACCTAAGGATGTGTAATAAATGAAATCTGTAATAAATGTAATCTGTAATAAATGGAAGTCAAATTTTCCTTTGCATATTTTTATGCTGTCATTACAGCAATTTTCCTGAGATAAAAAGCTTTGAAGATGTACTTTTCAGACGCATTTTTCTTCACAACGATTACTGTCTCAGAATGTCATTGCAATTTCTTACTTTTTTTGAGCTAAACCTACCCTGTTTTCTCTTTTAGGCAAATATCAATATTCCAATGGGAGCCTTTCGGCCAGGAGCAGGTCAACCCCCCAGAAGAAAAGAATGTACTCCTGAAGTGGAGGAGGTGAGGAAAACTCAGCTCTCAGAACACAGCAATGTTTTTCCCTTCTAAAATCCTCACCAGAGGGGGCAGAGGCTAGGCAAGGGCTGGCTATCCAGGACAAGGGAGGGGGCAAATGGCTGTGTGTCAAGGAATAACATACAGTATGTACATTTTTTTAGTTGTCTTGCTCAGTCAGCCCTGAAACGCACTGCCTTCTCCCTTCCCTTCAGCCAAATTTAAGTACTGTACCTGGCACCATTACTTGAAGGTACTGAGTTTAACTTCCAGTCTGTTGATTGACTGATTAACTGATTGTTTGATTGATTGATTGTGTGTATGCGTGTGTGTGTGTGCACGTGTGTGTGGTGGGGAGGATAAAGCCTCTGAGAAGTTTTTCGTCTAGCAGTAGTCACTAGATTGGTAAGTTTTCACTTGGGATCTTTTATCCAACTCAGCAGGTTGTAATAATACTTAGTACAGCTTCTGATAAGTGAGAATGCAGAAAGTAAGCACATTAAATTATTTGGGGATTCAAATAAACAACAAACAAACAAAAACTCAATCTCTAAATGTTTCCTTTGAAAAGGGGACTTTGCAAGGGAGTCTATCAAGCCTCCATTTCTGTATTTTTTCCTCTTTCTAATTCTTTACTTCTCCCCCAAATTCAAGTACCCGATCTGCTAAATTGGAGGCTAAAATTAATAATGAATGCCATAAATAGGGAAGAGTTTCTTCCTCAGATGTTTATATTTCTTACCCAATTGTAACTTTTCTGCTGAAACCTGGAAGGTCTGATTCTCAAAAAAGATAGTGAAGGTTTTGGAACATTTTATTAGCACAAGACATGGAAAATGGAATCAAATAAAGCCACAAGGCATAGCAAACTGTATTTCATCTTTTTAAAAGGGTAAAAAGGCTTTTTAAGTTTACCAAGTGACATTTTTGGTATTTGTCCCAAAAGAATATCTATTACCATTTCAAAGGTTCCTAATACAACTTTGTCCTGCTTGTAACCTTTTTTTCCTGTGAATATTCCTGATGTCGTCCTAAATTAGTGGTTCCAGTCTCCTATCAGTAGAAAGATAATTTTTGAAAGGAGGAGATGGGGAGTATTTGAGTGATATCATCAAGTGCTGGAATTGCAGCCACTAAGTCACTCTTGATGAATACAAATTTTGAACATACAAGTTGGAAAAACCTGGCCCTACCCTGCTTTTATGGTTACATAATCTCAAGTTCTGTTGCTGTTAACTTTGCCATCGAGTTAACTCATGATCATGAGGTCTCCATCTGGGACTTGGGCCAAGTATTTCAGAGTCTGTGTCTGCAAAATAGGATCACCTCCATTCCTCAGAGGGTCACTGCGAGGGCATGATATAATGGACATGGCGTAGTCTAGTAGGTATTCCATAAACTATTTTTCATCAATTGATGTAATTATCCAATTTTCATGAAGCACTCCTGGGCCTATTGTTTTTGCATGTTGTAAGGAAAAGGCATGGGGAGGTAAAAGGGACGGCGGTGGAATTCTTCTATACCTTCATTTATCTGTAATTAGATTTTTCTTTGCTTCCTGTGCTTCCTCTTAAACTGTGTCTGTCACTACCATGGCAATCAGTCAGAAAGTAGCTTGACCCACTTTTCTCACTAAATTGACTGATGTAACAGCTGTTTTGGAGGCTCACATTTCATTTTCCACCTGTGGTACAGATGGCCCCTGGTTCTTCTTTGTCCAACTGGTACTTTCCTCCACACAAGTATCTCAGGGGACTGGGGAAGCACTTTGCTCTCTCTTGCCTTGTATCTAATCTGTTGGTTGCAGTGCATTCTAAAATAGACAAGAACTGATACAGCTTGGTGTGTGAACACCTACTTTATAATTAGCCACGTATACAAATGGCCAACTAGTATTTTTCATAGGATGGAGGTAGTGATGTATCCACAAAGACACAAAGACCCCAGGGATGTTTCTGTTTTTTGTCTTTCTTCCTTTTTTTTTTGTAACAACTTATTGTCCAACAGATGGAGTATTTCTTGAACTGTACCATACCTTTCTCATAGAGCTCATTGGGCAGAAGGGTGGAGCTAGTGATGGTATTTCTTTACCATAAAAGCAGAAATAAACTCTCAGGATTTGTGCAGTCTTAGGGAGGGAGTGGGATCTAATGACTCAGTCTCTGGCCTGGACCTCAGATTAAGTTTCTTATGAAGACAACATTGTGAGGGGAGTAATTAGACAGCTTGGCTTGGCCACAGGGTGGGTTAAGTAGGATTTTGTCAATTAGCTTCAGGCCCCAGCCACATTTTAAGGCATAGTTTGAATGGGAAAATAAAATTTGGATTTGAAATAACATATACATCCACATTTACTATCATTATCATCTAGTTTGCAAACTTGGAATTGCTTAATTTTGTAGACTTAAAATTCGTTCGTTGCCTAGCCTTGCATGAGGATAATTACTGTATAGAGATCATAACATACCATCTTTGAACAAAACAGATAACCTCTATCACATTCAGGAGGTTCCCCATCTAAACTCAGAAGGACTTTTGATCCTGACACCCTCTCAGATGTGAAGAGGATGTTCCCCAGCAGGAAGCCAGAATGAGTCTTTGGCTGTCTGCCAAGGCCTGTGAGCACTGACCCTGTCTTTGGCCCACCTATGGTTTCTGGTAAGACCTTTGCTCTGCTCACAGAGCTGGAGTACACCCTCTATCTGCTTGGCCCAGCCACAGATGGGCATGTGCCCAACACTGAGGCCTTACAGCCAAATGTTAATAAACAGGGCTGGTCTTTTGCGTAAGACAATCAGCTGCTTGCTTGATTTGAAGGGTATTGACAAGCCTCTACTAAGCTTCCCAAATCTCTCTTTTGACTGAAATACTATCATTATTAAGCCACAAAATAGCAGGTTGTGATTTTCTGTTAATTATTTCCCTCTCCACCTGGCTCCTTTACAAGATGCAAACATTTAATTCTGGTCTAGCCACTTCCCAGCTGTGTGGCCTTGGGGCAAGTTTCTTAGCCCTTCTGTGCCTGAGTCTTCTCCACTGTAAGACAGGGATGATAATAGTACCAGATTTCTATGGTTGAGGTGAGGATTAAATGAGTTAGTACATGTAACTTAGAACAGTTAACAGTGTGCCATTATTATTAAGTCTTTGGTGTTTGAGCATGAATGAGCAGGCCAGATTGTATTGTCCCACACAGGAGAGTTTAGGGAAAAACTCAGTAGGATATCTGGCAATAATGAGGGAGATGAAAGTGAGATCACTTGAATATGTTTCACTGTTTTGCCAAGTTTTACAAATACCCTGTGACCCCCAAGGGAAACATTTCCCTTCACAACAGCCATTCCTGAAACTGAGAATGCTGCTGTGGCTGATAAGCCTTCTTTTACACTCTCTTTATCTAAGCCAAAGAATGTCTTTCATGTCCCTTCTTCATTCAAATATCCACTTACAAAATTAAAAAAGGACATATTTATTAGCCAAATGGGGCCATCTGGAACCCTGTTTGTTTATGTCTTAACTTACTATAATTCTTACAATTACAAATTCATAATATAAATGGAATCTGATTCCTGTTATGTTTTTAAAAGATGAGAGAAGTTTCATTTAAGAAAATGCACCATTAACCCCCTTCTTCCTGAGTCAATATCATGTCTAATTACTAAATATATTGAATTATAATTTCCCATTATATGTGACTTTACCAAATCAAGTGGTGAAAGTCTTATGTTGATAAATAAAAAAACACAATGCATTGAAGTTTTAATAAGTAGAGAGGAAGGTGCCTATTAAATATTGTTATTAATCTGCAAATGCTCACTGCAAAAATTTTTGCATATAAACATGTAAGTACAGACATTGGCTTTAATGTGTTAAATGTGCCAATATAGAACATTTTGATGTTACAAAGTCAGTAAATGTGACTTATCCAGGAACTTAACAGAAGGAATTGGAAACATTTTTCTCTTTCATGCTTCTTTATTAAGGTCTACCCACCTAACAGCCGTGGAAACATTTATAAGTGAGGAAACATTTTTCATTTCACCACTACACATATATAAAACACATACACACACACACAGCACTTTATAGCCTTGTTAAAAAATTCTTTCTGAAAGCATAGCAAAGAACATTTTGGAATATCTAGTCCTCCAAGTGGATGCTTTACAGTTTTAATTATTGCTTCTAAATCTACATTTATAACTGATAAATGTGTGTGCATGACAAAAAACAGCTGATTCTAGGGCTCTGTACACTGACCCAGGGAAACAGTATTTTCCAGATATTTACAGCAGGTATAGTCCACATTGAAATACTTTATCATTTTGTTTGGGTGAAACGTTAGCTATTTCATCAGCACTGTACCAGATTTAAAGAAAATGACTGTAGGAAAAGCCATTAGCCCTTAGTAGAAGAACAGCACCTCAATATTTTATGTCTACTCATCCCCTCCGATAAACAATTTAAAAACATTTCTATAAAGGACGTGACTACTAAGTAATTTGTTAGAGTTTGGGGAAGCTTGAATACTTTCTTCCTTTAGGTTCTAACCAATTTGAGAACTAGACATAGGATCCAGACAGGGATTAACACACACCATCAGCTTTAATACCCAAATGACAGGGCTGCTGGTGGGGGTTGAGGGTAAGGGTGGGGTGGAGGCGGGGCATAGGGCATAGGGCCCACCCTCTCTGGTGAGAGGCAAACATGCAGTTACTTATTTCTTTTCCCGGGAACTGTATTGGTTCACCCAGTTGTTGGCCAAGCAGATGGAGATCTGCGCCAGTCTGTGTTAGTTTGGGTCCTTCAGGAAACTGACCCAAAGATACTTGCTGGGGAAAACACTTGTAAGGAAAAATGGGAGGGAGTTGCCCGAGGCTGGGAGGGAGAGAGGGATAGAGGGTTGGGTGGAAGCATCTCAGACTTCAGTGCCGTACTGAGGCAAGTTCTCCAGGTGAAGTCGCTCCGCAGAGGAGTCCCAAGTCTCCCAGGAATGGGCCCGCCTTAGAATTCCTGTCGCACTCAGTCATTGGCTACAAGCAGCCGTGGGAAGTGTGACCTCAGCGTGGTGATGGATGGCTGGATTTCAATGTGAAGCAGCTGGAGCCCTCATTCAATTATCCTCTCTGCAGTAAACTGATCCGAGAGGCGCGTTCTCAAGGCTGCCACGGTGATCAAATGTTCCTCCAACACCTTTCCCTGGGGCCACAGAGAACATATCCTCCCCTACACACCACCTCTAGCAAATAGAAGGAATGGGCTAATAATCAACTTTTTTTTTTTCTGTATAAATGAGTTTCTGAAGTTCTCGGAGCCACACACAGCAACTGATGTTGTTTTATAGTTACCATTGTATGTGTGTTTGGTGTATGTACATAGAGGCATAGATTTTCATTATGGCACATTCTTGGGATTGATCCAAATAAACAACAGTCAACAAGTATGCGCGTGCACCTCTGTGACAGACACTGGAAATGCCACAAGAAAGGATAGGATGTGGGTCCTGCCCTAAAGTTGCAACAAAAATATAACATTCAATGATAGGAAATTTAAAATACTTCCCAAAGCAGGAGAGAGCTGGGCTTCCTCTGCCACTCTGTCTTGTCGTGCCCATATTCAAACAGGTTTTGCTTACGTTTGTTTCAGTTTATTTATGCATCCCATGCTCTAACATTGTACAAATCTTTGCTGTCAGGCATATTATAATTGTATGATTACAAATTAAAGTCAATCTTGTAAGATGCTTCTCTTGGAAACACAAATCCTTTGAACTAGTAGTAATTTTTGTTAGTTATCAGAAGTTGAACATACTCTAGTGTTTTCTAAGTTATGTGGAAATTACTTGTTTTCTTCTTCCAACTTTATTCCACACTTCACAACAAACTTTAGGAGATTTTATTGAAACTCTAAGGCTGTCTCAACAACACAAGGGACAGTCACTCTGCTAGAATCACACTTTGACATCATTGTTACTTTAATTTTTTTTTCTGGTTCATGCTTATGGCCCAAAGAGATCAAATGTGATTTTTGGTGAGTTGGATTTCTTCTCCTTGCTCTTCAGGGTGTTCCTCCCACCTCGGATGAGGAGAAGAAGCCAATTCCAGGAGCGAAGAAACTTCCAGGACCTGCAGTCAATCTATCGGAAATCCAGAATATTAAAAGTGAACTAAAATATGTCCCCAAAGCTGAACAGTAGTAGGAAGAAAAAAGGTGAGTGAAAAACTATCTTCTTTGTCTCAAAAAGTCCTCTGTAAAATGGTTTAAGGAAGCCTTCCACAGAAGAAATCTGGAATTCTACAAGAGTTCATTAAATACCAGGTGCCTTCAATTTAAGTCAGTATTTCTGGTGCAGTTTTCTGGTTAAGCCAAGTTTTTGGGCCTGTCTTATTCCATCACCAGTCATAGATCCATTGAAGATGTTAGCCTGCCATTCTCTTTCTGATCATCCTTCTTAGTTGTGGAAGGATGAAGTTGGGAGAGGAAAGATGCTTGGGAAAAGGCCTTGAGGTTTTCATCTTGAGGTCCAGGGAGCCCTCCCTCACTCCATGCTTCAGTTTCCTCACCCAGGTATCACAAAAAGCAACAAACTATTCATGAGCTAGAGGATCAGAGGATCAAGGAACTGAACAAGTTTGGGAGTATAAAGAGGCAGAGACCCAGGAGTTCAGTCCTTTAATCAAGTAACCCAGGTGTGTGTAAGGCAGACCAAGAGGATGCCATAACGACTCTAGGTGTGGATGAGGTTAAGGGTAGCTCAAAACTTGTATGCTGCCTTACAAGGCACTGCAAGCAGGGCTTGTGACCTTATTTTTATTTTAATTGCATCTGTTCAATAATGATCCCTTGGTGAGGGTTCAGACAACCCTCCACCTGGCTCCTGTGGACTGGTATGGGAATTCTGCCAGCAGGGGAGTGTGGAATTGGCCCAAGTCTTCACTCTTTCTCCTAGGAGACCCTGGGAGCAAATCTACCCTTTTCCAACATTACTAAGCCCGCAATGTACAATCTATTCCATTTCTTAAGCAGAAATTTAAGTCTAGAGGAGAGGAATCTATATTAGGAACATAAAACAGGTTTTATCTGGTTGATTGTCCATTCATTCATTTGGTCACTCACCCATTCATTCAATCGATATTTATTGAGTGTTCACTACATGCTGCACACTAGAAACATTTATTCGTCACTTACCATGAGCAAGATACTGTGCGAAGAACATTATGTCCATTGTTTCTTTTAAGCCTCATGATACTCAATTATTGTTCTCATTTTTGAGATGAGTCTTAGAGAGACTGAGTTTCCCCATCTATCATGTATTCTAAAAATGGAGTCTGCCTTCAAAGTTAGTGCTATCACCTACTTGTTATATTGCTTCAATCCCTTCCTCCCACCACACCTTACAGATGGATTGCATGCTTTCTGTTGGTGTTGGGGTGAAATCTTCTGACTGGATGGCAGAGGCAAGCAGTGGGGCGGATAGGGCCCCGCTGTGTCTTCTCCTCTAGACAGAATGAGGAACAGAATGTTCTGTCAGACAGTCCAGTGCATTGTGGCAGTGTTATTTGTGTTACACTTACACTGACTTACTAGGATGTTTGCAGGTTAGTTCAGCCGAAAATATTTTATAGTTAGAGAAAGAGAGGAGCCGTTTTGAGTTAAAATAAAACAATAGTATCTGGTGTTTTCAGCACAGTTACATAAAAGAACACAGGAGTAAGAGTAAAACAGAGTGGATCTATGACCATAGACTGAATCCCAGGAACCTGGATGGGGACAAATTGATGTGAGCAGGAACTAACCTGACATGTGGCTACATGCACTTGTTGCTACTGATGACAGAATGGAACAAATTGATGACTGAGTATCACACTCAGTCCTGCTTGTGTTGCCAAGTTGAGATGAAATCTTTCAATATGGTAGGGATGAAACTTCAGAACTTCCTTGTTAGAAAGCCTGGAGAGGGGAACTTAACTTTTGGTAATATTTATTATCATCACCCAACCAAGGCTGTTCAGTTGGACACACGAATTTTTAATGCAAACTTTAAAGGTTTTTACTTTTATGAAAACCATGTTGACCTAAATTTAACCTCAGTTCCAGTTCCAGAAGAATTTGGTTTTGAAGATTCAGAGGAATGCGGTTTTAAAATGAGCTTAGAGAGGATCTCGCAGTGTTACTCAGCAGTGGGGTTGATTCAGTAGCCTTGGCTGTGTGATTACAGGGAACAAGGAAGAATAACAACTCAATCAAATATTGAAAATGTACCAGAATATCCAGAACACATTTTTGTTACTTTATTTTCTCAGAGAAGACTTTAATGATTCTTCTCTCCTTAACAAATTCTAATGTAAAACCACTCAGAGAGACCTATTTTTCCTTATTCTTACAGTAATGTGAAAATCTAAGTTGTCAGGGTAATTGATCTGAATTCCAAATGAGTACAGTCATTGTTTTAAGCCAAGGAATGATCTTTACTTTTTGTAGCAAGCTGTTTTGCTTTTGACTTATTTTTCTCCTGCAGATATTTTGAAATTTCGAGACTTCAGTAGTCATAGTCTGTGGTCGCAGAAGGAGAACATTTCTTAACATTGATAGATTCAGTGAACTCATAAGCAGTAAATACCCTGGACCAGCCATCACTTAACCCTTCACTGGTTGGATTGATTTTTTTTCTTCTTGGGTCACCACTTTGTCACCCACCCTCACCCTGTGTTGTCCAGTTATTTGATCAAACAGATCATTGTTTGAAGATTGAATAAGTCCATCATGTCCATAGTGTCAAACACAGTGAAAACCACAAGGCGCAAGGTCCACATAATATTATAACTATTACAGTACTTTAGACACATAAGACAGGTTAGCATCTCATTCTAGCCAAGATCAGTGCCTCCTTTTATGTGGGATTTCAGATTCTTTCCATGCCCTGTGTCATGGATAGAATTGTTCACAGAAATCAATTAAAAACATTACAGAACAAGAATCAGAAAGGCCAGTGACTACCCCGTTGGGCACCAGAAATCATGGCTTATGGAAAAGGAGTGGGGGCCTAGACCCAAACCGGAACCAGACCAGGCAATATAGAGACAGCACATACCAAGTCAAAGCCAAAAGACACAGGAATGTCCCAAATGGGGCCCCAGTCCAGGCTGGAACTGGCATGGTACAGGGAAGGTAGGATGTTCAGCCACAAAAATTTTGGAATCCTCCTGGCTGTGATTTAAGGTAGCCAGATGGTGACTTAAGAAAGTCCAAGAACCAGATGAAGAGGCAGGACCAGTGGCAAAATCTAGAAACCAGGTGTCCTCCAATACTTCCAATCCTGCTTGTTTGCTGCATTATCAGGAATCCTGCAGGGCCACTATCAGAAACCACTGTCAGCTTGTTTGCTTACAGTTGTAGCAGATACCACCTCAGGCTTCATGGACAAAGGTCTGGGGAACCTGCAGAACCGCTCTGGGCTGGTGTTCAAACAGACTTTGTGTCCATTTCTGTTTGTTCCCGACCCTTAGATCAGAGCATAGGTACTCAGTAAAGAACCCTTGAAACTAGCTTCTATACCATGGGTACTTTCTTCTTTCTGTAGTAAAATGTATAGATATAAAACTTGGTCCCTGCTCTCAGGATACTTAAGTCTTGATGGAAAGATAAAATACTTCAAAAGGTAGCTAACAATTCAAGAATTAGATAGCAGCTTAATTATTAAAGATATCCCAAGGCTGTTTATGACCCACTAACAACTAGGCAGCAGAGATAATGTTATGACTTTTGAGGGGCTAAGGTATGATTTGGGGTCAGGGATAATTTCAAAGAGGCAGTGGGAATGGAATGGTTTAAACAGAGGCTCAGAGATCACCTCTGGACAAATGGAGTGTCCAGGGTATTGTTAATAATTAGACCAGTCTAGTGAGACCAAAGAGATCCTCTAGGCACTACGTCTTAAACTTTTGGAGCATAACAAAATAAAACCCCACAGCCTGCCTACACCATCTCATCTCTTTTTCCAGTGGTAAAAGAACTCAGTGATATCAAAGAATTGAAGAGGAACAAAATAAGTATCAAAGTGGTAATGACGCATCAATTACAAGAAAAAGAAATGATTAGCAAAGGTAAAACCTAAGAATAATTCTACAATGATGCTAATAAGCACCGAGAAAGTCGCAATTGAAAGCCTTGGAACTGATGAAGCTCTAAAAAGAAATTCTCCTTCTGAAGTTTCAAGAATCCCTTCTGTCTGTGTTGGACATTGCAGCATGGCCACATGTGTGGCAGTCAGACTTCATGATTGTATACTAAACTAAGGTTTTAGAAAAATGCAAAATTTTACTGATTCTTGATAGCTCACTTAGTAGGTTTTGGTTGTGTAGAGACGTGAGAATCTATGGAATTAATCCCCATTCATCATTAGGAACTGAAGAAAGCACTTGTGTTTTTGTATCGAGAAGTCTTTTGAGGTCAACCAGTGGGCCTTGGACCATACTTTGAGAAACACTGCTGTAGGGCAGTAAATGAGAATGAGTTGGAATAATCTGCAGTTCCTTTGTACCCATACACAGCCTCATAATCTCAAGTTAGTCTCTATCTCATACCCCACATCAGCTAGCCAGCCCTGATTTTGGATTTTGTAGATTTGAAAAGAATCTTTATAATGCCCTGTTGGGGGAGGTGTGCCCTTATCTTAGTCTGCTCGGTCCGCTATAACAAAATACCATAGACTGGGTAGCTAAAACAGCAGACATTTATTTCTCACCATTCTGGAGCTGAAAGTCAGAGATGAGGATGTCAGTATTGTTGGGTTTTGGTGAGGGTTCTCTTCCTGGCTTGCAGATGGCCATATTCTTGCTGTGTCCTTTGATGTCTCTTCCTCTTCTTATAAGGGTGCTAATTCTATCATGGGGACCCCACACTCATGACCTCATCTAAACCTAATTACCTCTCAAAGGCCCCACCTCCTAATATTATCACATTGAGGATTAAGGCTTCAACATATGAATTTGGGGGAGGGACACAAACATGCAGTCCATAAGAGTCCTCTTCCTCCAGCACTCTGCCCCATCCCTAGCATCTTCTGTTTATCCTGTCACAAACTTACTGAATTGTAATGTATTGGTTTTCTTGTTTACATCTTCCTTATGATGCTATCGCATAGCTCCTTTAAAGGCTGCAATTCACATGATACATATTAGGCACACAGGGCAAGTCTGGAGGATGTTGCCGGTGCCCTGACCACAGCAAGTCTGGGATCACTTAGAAATGTAGACATTCCAAGTCCTTGTAATCTTAGGGAGCTTACCACTTTAAAAGAAAGACTAGCTTCTCTCAAAAGGTCCATAGTTAACATTGTTGACCAAAATCAGTAATGGGCCCAGAAATTTGACTTTAATTAATTGATTGTATTCCTCTGGGAAACTAAAAAATTAAGGAAAATGTCAAGTTTGTCTCATATTCCTCAAAAGAGGAGAAAGACGTGTAAACCAGAAGAAAACTTAGTATTCAAGAATTCTTTGGCTTTATTTTTCAAATAACATCCACGTCTAGATAAGACATATTTACCAACCTGTCATCCAGAGAGTTGTCATCTCTGATACGGGAGAACATAAGGCGCTCATTACTCTTAAATGTTAAACATGCATCACCATCATTCCTACTGATTCAAGGGCTAATTCTGAGAGTGTTGGAAGAAGGGCAAATTGATATACCCAGACAATTGATTAAAAAGTGCATTTAGTACATAACAACAGACCCCCAAAACACATGAAGCAAAAACCAACACAAATGAAGGAAGAAACAGACAATCTAATGATAATAATTGGGGAATTCAATATCCCATTTTCCATAATGTCTAGAATAACTAGATAAATGATCAACAAGGAAATATAAGACAAGAACAACACCATAAACTAACTAGACCTAACATATATATATATATATATAATGTGTATATATACATTATGTATGTGTACATATACACATATACACACAAATGTGTACATATACACATATACACACAAATGTGTACATATACACATATACACATTAATGTGTACATATACACATATACACATTTATGTGTACATGTACACATTAATGTGTACACATACACATACACACTTATGTGTACATGTACACATATACACAAATGTGTACATATACACATATACACATTAATGTGTACATATACACATATACACATATACACATAATGTGTATATATACACATACACACATAATGTGTATGTGTACACATACACACATAATGTGTATGTGTACACATACACACATAATGTGTATGTGTACACATACACACATTATGTGTATGTGTACACATACACACATATATGTGTGTATATATATTATATGTATAGTGTGTGGATATGTATATATACACACATATAAAACACTGCCCAACAACAGCAGAGTACATGTGTACACATTCTTCTCAAGTGTACATGGAACATTGTGCAGGACAGAGCATATGTTAGGCCATGAAATAAGTCTCAAATTTAAAAGGATTGAAATCATACAAAGTATGTTCTATGACCATAATGGAATGAAATTAGAAATCAATAACAGAAGGAAGTTTGGGAAATTCACAACTTGTGGAACTTAAACAACATGCTTCTAAATAACCAATGAGTCAAAGGAGAAATCACAAGGTACATTTAAAAATATTAATACTTTGAGGCGAATGAAAACAAAAATACAGCATACCCAAATTTATAAGATGCAATGAAAGCAGTACTTAGAGGAAAGTTTACAGTTATAAATGACTATATTAAAAAAGATCTCAAATCCCATAACCAACCAATCAAATCAATATTAGCACCTATTCCATATTTGGGAAACATGCCCTTTATCATCTTATAGTAAACTTATGATTAAATTGATGCATGAATGGAAATATCATTCCTTTCAAATGGTAAGGAATAATAAATGTAATAAATCTATTTGTATAAACACTATAACAATGTAACAGAGACTGGGAAATAAAAAATGATTGCCCAGTAGATCGCCATTTTAGCAAAATACTGACTTTGGTATTTCCCCTTCTAGTCTTTTCCTCTGGGTTTACTTCTGGGATGCAATACAACCAAGTTGCTAACAATATGTTGATCTGGGGTTGTGAAGACTTGGTCTCATTTCCTTCTACGTTTGCAACTTTGCGCTCTATGCCTCTATTTTCTTGTTTGATAAAAGCAGAAAATGGCACCTCTCTCAATCAGTAGTTGTGAAGGGTTAGGGAGATGTATTTTTAAAAGTATCTCCAGGCACAGTACCTGGGATGGGTAATTACTCAGTAAATAGGAACTGGTTCTTATATATTTTTCTTATATAGCATCATTTGTAGCACTTGTATAGTTTTGTATCTTGCTTTTTCCACTTTACATTTTATCACAAGATTAGTTTTCATGTTGCTTTGCAGCCTTCAGAATTAGGATGATTTATTTCTCATAGTCTTTGACTTATCATGATTTCATAACCTTTTCCTTTTGCCAGAAGACAGAGGACTGATTTATTGTTTCACATAGAACTAGACTTAAACACACTTCTCCAAATGTCTTCTCTGTGGTTTGTGGAAATTTTTTGTCCTCATTTTTGAAATGTTCCCTGCTTTGACCCAATTACAGAGCTCTATTCACTTTCTCTGAAGGAAATGGTTTTATGCTGATATTTTTCATTCTCTAGTGAAGCCACATTTCTTTTGATTTGTGATGCTCTTTTTAAATTCTTCCTGATCTTCACTTGGTTAGGATAAAGACAGGTTCTGCAGTGATTCTGAACTGTATCAAGGTCTTGTTCATTTGTTTTCCTGGCTGGCAAAACTCTCGTTTTAGACCCTGGTTACAGTCTGTGTGGGTGTAGAGGACTTGAGAGTGAACACAAGAAGACTTTGAGTTGATTGTGGCAGTTGCTTTAAGAGCCTCTCAACAGTAAACACACAGAAGCTACCTGTGTAGTTTCTATTAAAACAGAGATTTGGAGGGTCTAGTGTGTGAATTATCAGGAAGAAATTGGAATTGGTGCGAGAGCTTTTAGGGAGTAGACTTGAGACCAGAGAAGCACATTTGCTTCAGCCAGCTTGGTGGAAAGCAGAGGTGACTCCGAACCCAATTCTGTTGATCTTCCTATACTGGCACACACATCTCCATGGGCCAAAAGACAGTTACACCTGGCACCTGTTCTACTCTCAATGTAATGGAACTCATTACTCTATCTCATTTGTTCTCAATGGGGGGAGGGTGTGGATTTTTCCTCCCAGGGGACATCTGGCAATGTCTGCACACAGTTTGAATTGTCACAACTAGGGGTGGGCTGCTACTGTCCTCTAGTGAGGAGAGGCCAGGGATGCTATTAAACATCCCACAATGCCAAGGATGGCCTCCTACAACAAAGAATGATCCAGCCCCAAATGTCAATACTGCTGAGAGTGAGTAACCCTGATTTACCTGCTTGAAAGGTTGATGTTAGGTCCAGCTTGCTGCGGACTTTGCTTTCCAAGCAATCAATGCATTGCACGTCACAGAAATTAAGACAGTAATAAAAAGAGTAAAGTAATTAATTGCCAATATTTATAATCTCTTAACAGTAATTAAGACTTAGGAATGAAGCACTCTTAAATATGATTCTTGTCAATTGCCAGATTAAACATATTTATGGTATATGGTCTATGTGGAATTGCCTCAAACCCAACTATTTTTATAGGTTATTTTTTCATCTCAAATGTATCAGAAAGCAGATTATCTCAGCAGCTCATCAAGTCTTCTAAAGTATTAACATTAAGCATTAGTAGTCACCAGCATCAATATCAATGTCATCATTTTTATTGTCATCATGAACATTCCCATTTATTATATGCTTGTGATATGCCTGGTACCATATTTTGCACCTCACATGCATTATTTCATTCATTCCTTGTGCTGACTGCATGGGGTATTACTACAATGCTCATTTTGTTTATGGGAGAGTGAAGGCTAAGAGAGCTTATGCAACTTGACCGAGGTCACCCAGATTGTAAGTCACAGAGGTGAGGTGCAAACCATCATCTGTCACACTAAACAGCCAGTCCTTTTAATCACTATCACCCACTGCATTCTTAAAAAATGTTCTTTTAGCTATAGTCTTTGCAAATAATATTTCACCATGTTGGGTCAGTGCAAAGCAAGCAAAGGCTAAAGAGACTGCAGAAACTGTCACTGTCACAAAGACGAACACTGAAACATAACCCTGGCATGTTGGTTGATGTGTTCCTTTGTTTGCTCATTTGTTTATTCATTCACATATTCATTCTTTTAGCTAGTCAGCATTTACTAAACACAAAAGATGCACCAGGTGCTGAGTATATCAGGCATTAGGGATTCAAATATGCCAGAGCATCTACCCTGGTTCACGGTTTAATGGGCAAAACATTGCATGGAAGCACAAATAATTTGCTCTTTTTAAGGATTTTGACAAAAAGGAAGAGTTAATGCCCATAAACATCAGAGAAAGTATGAGAGAGAGAGAGAGAGAGAGAGAGAGAGAGAGAGAGAGAGAGAGAGAGAGAGAGAGAAAGGAGGGGAAGGGAGAGGAGGGGAAAGGAGAGGAGAGGAGACAGAAAAACTCCGATTATGGCAGTGCTGGGGATGACATGGACTTTGCCCAGTGCTGACAAAACTGCAGCAGAGCAATACCAGACCGCTGCAGAGCCCACCTGCCTTTGCTCCGGAGATGAGCAAGGGCTTGTCAGGAGTCTGTGTCATTCATGGTGCAGCAGTCTCCGACCCGTGAAGCCTTTTCGCTCATTCCCTCTCACGCTGTGTGCAGCCCACGCAGAAAACTGGGGAAGTGAATTCCAGGCTGTCTAATCAGGGTTGGCTGCATCGTGACAATGCTGCTCATTTTAACTCCCTGCACATGCTGTGGCATTTGAGAAGGAGAAGGAATCACGAGGAGCAAATCAAGACTTGCAAATTTAACTTGTACTCCCTTACCACTGCTCCCTGCCTGTGAACTGATCATTCCACACCCTCTAGTCTAGGACTTTATGCAGATGGCAAGGGGGTGGCTGGTTTAATCCGAGGCAGGGTCAGTCAATTGGCTTCTCACTGAGGGAAATTTCTATTAAGCAGTCGACAGATTGGAGTCTCTTTTGTCCAGGCAGGTGGCACAAAGGTTGCTCAGAACAATTCATCTGGACTGCTGGATAAACAGCCGAAAGCAAGCGTGTCCTATTGCCAGAAAGTCATTGGATGCCTTCTATAGGAAGGACAGTGGCACTTCCTTCCACCCTAGAAGATAGTGGCACTTCCTTCCACCTGTCACCGATGTAATAGAATCCTTAACAAGTAATACATATTTTACTGCCTAGCTCTTACCTGATCCCCCAATTTTGGATACAGATGATAAGAATCATGGCTGCATTTTAGTTTCAGAGGCAGCAATTAATTCCTGAAAACTACCCCAACAGGTTTATTAAATTCTGAGTGTTCAATCATCCATCTATTCAGACTGTTTTCATTGCCTGATCATTTTGTACATGGGCTAGTTGGAATTTACCTTGGCCAAATTAACCTTCTTCTTCATAATGCAAGTTGACAGCATGAATTGGATTTGAGTGGGAAGGATTAAAGTGCTTGGATAAATTCACTCATTTATGAAATGAACATCTATTCACTGACTGTTTCAGGCACTACTATGTTAGAAATAGGTGATACAAGACAACATCCCTCAAGGGACTCACAGTCTAGTTGGGTAAGGATGTGAGAGGGGATATTAGCACATAGTGGTTGCAGCAGGAATGAAGAAGAAATGAGAAGGCACGGCCTTTGAATACAGGTGACAAAGAAAGAGTCTAGACAGGATGTTGGAAAACAGTTATCCCACTGAAAGAAATGTGGAAGAGAAGTGATTCAAGTATAGGTTTATACCCTGGCTTTGCTATTCCCTTGTCTTGTGATTTTATATAATTGCTCTGCCTCAGTTTCTTCATCTGAAAAATGAGAAAAATACCTAACTCCCAGAGGCAATTCTGCTGTCCACCCTGAGGAATATTTAGCAATGTTTGAAGACATTTTTGATTGTCACACCTCAGGGTGGGTACTCTTGGCATTCAGGGGCTTGAGACCAGGGATGGTACTAAACACCCTACAACACACAGGACAGTTCCCACAACAGGCACCGATAGTTCCAGGGCTGAGAAGCACTGAATCACATAGTGTGTATATCTAAAGTTCTGCATACCATGGGAGCTATTACAAACTACAAAATGTTACCATTAGAATGAACTTAATTTAAGATCCCCTATCTATTAGCAGTGAGTCCCAGGAGCAATGGAATCAAGGTCAATACCAGTCTAAAATCCCAGTGTCCTATTTTCCAGTTTTGTGTTCCTACTTTATAGGAAAGACAAACAGTTTTCATTTTGAGTGTTGTGTCTGTTTCATTGGTACTGACTGCTGAGAAGGGTTGGGAATCTGAGTTCTGCGAGAAGAAGTGGGGCGATCATAGCAGAGTGGGCTGTGGCTGTGTCAGGTGGCATGGACAGGCTTTCTGCGCACATTTGCCCACCTTACAGCAGCCACTGGACACTTGATGTGCTGGAAAGAGTGGGACACACCCGTCCTCCACTTGCAGCTCTGGCACGTAGTAATTCAGTGACCTTGGGCAACTTCCTGACCACTCTGAGCCACATCTATAAATAGGAATAATAATGTAAGTCTTGAGAAGGCACCATAAAGACAGTGAATTGACTCAGATGGTGCTCCTGGTACACAGCAGCTTCCAGGAAGTCTTCATTCCCTTCGCTGTCCTCACAGTCTGCCCATACCTTCTGCCCTCTGCCCCTTGCTTCCAAGGCTAGGAGTTGATTGGTTGGTTGGTTTTTAAGTGAAATACTGTCTGAAGATTAGCTCTGCACATTTCCCCAGCGAATATGAAGAAAGCTCACTGAAAATTAAAATCCATTAATTATCTTATCTGTGACTAATATGAGCTCATTGAAGCACTTGCAAACATCTGGGAGGATCTCTTTCTCAATCACCTGAATCCTTTGAGCTTGAGCCAGTTCATGAGATGATTTCTAACCTGCAACTGTCCTCTTTCTCCTGGAGGAGGCATTGCAGTTCCAGTTTTCAAAACCTGCAGCAGCTCATGTTTCCAAGGCCTTTGTCTCAAGACAGCAAAATTACAAACATTTCACTTTAGCATTTTCATTTTGTTTTGGAGACTTCAAGGAATTTCCCTCCTCTCACCCTAATTTTTAACTAGCAAATGCATCTCGTTTGTAATTTGATTTTTCTCTGAAGAGAATCAGCTTAAGAAATACTTGGAGAGTTGAGCTGCCATTGCCCTACTCTCAAAGAAAAGTCAAACAATGGACTTTATACAGCATTTTCCTGAGCATTTTGAATGGGCTTTATGGCCAAAAATAGACATTTCACCTTTCTAGTAATCTTTTGTGCATAGGCTATGTACTATTGGAGTCTGGTCCAGAAAATAAAATGAGAGCTATGTCGATCTCAATGTCCAGAAGTGCCCTGGGTGTCTTCTCTATGACACCCTGTCCTGGGTTATGCCCCATTCACATTTAATTTCCAGCTATGATTACCTTGCAGAGGTGTTTTCTCCCTCTATCTGACATTATTTAATTTGATAATCAAATTATGTCTATGTTGCAATAATAGGTAGGCAGTCACTAGTAAATACAGGTGCCAGAGAACATGGCAGCCTGGAGACTTTGTGAAATGGCTGCTTAAGGGGCATCATACAGGCCAGGCAATGAGGAAACAGGTTTATTTGGAAGTTTTATAACATACGCAAAATCACATCTTTTAACTAGGGGATAATAGTAGCAATAATATTAACAAACCCTTGCTCTTGATTTTAAGAATTCCGAAATCCTTCCATGTCCATTCTCTCTTTCGAACTTCATAACAGTTCTGTGAGATAGGTAGGGCAGGCACTGACTTTGCAGTTCAATCTCACATGACTTCCAACTTCACAAAGGGTGGAAGATTGTGGGTTGTATTGTCTTCTCCCTCCAGAGAAGGTTCATTTTAAGACTAATTATTAATTAAGCCTATTGAAGTCCATCTGTAGAAAATGGGTGTAATCCCTTTCAATCAGAAAAGTAGGATCACCATGTAGTCTGCAACAGGTGCCCAGGAAGGGGATTAGTAACAATCCATTCCATGGGCCAGAATTGAACAGATAATGGCTCTGCTTATACCCAGAAGGACTTTTGTCACTGACATGGAAAGATATTCAAGATTAATCTACCCACCTCTATCTATAGATATATTTCAAAGGAAATGTATTATCTCAATTTCTACCTCTGTTTACTATTTTCTTGTTTAATTTTAAAAAGTCGTACTGTAATCTTTATACACATACAAACATACCACATACACATACACACACACATGCACATACATGCACACACATGGTAGAGGACAGATTTGATCCAGGATTTGGAAATTGGGTTGAAATGTCTTAATTTCAGAAAGATCAGGTGGCAAACAAATGGGTCTGGGGAAAACTTCACTTCAAGATGCCCCCAAACCATTGCCCTAAAGGTCAACTCTTCTGGAAAGCTCTTGGTTTTCACTGACAGCTAAGAAATGGTGTCCCAGACACCCTGCGAGGTCACATACAAAGTTTACTGCTTATTATCCGTCAGGAGAGAGAGAGCCTGGGAGTCATTCCGAGCCAAATCCAATCCAATTATGGGCCAATTATAGACCTGCTTTCGCTGCCAGGAGCAGGCCACCCCAGCAACCCAGCTGGTGTCAGAGCCCCTGGCTGGCAGGGATTCCCAGCACATAGGAAGAGGAGCTCATGCCCCAGATAAGACAAAACAGCTGATAATGCTCTAGACCAGCACAGATGGCAAATGCAACTGCATTAGAATGGTTCTTGATCCTCATCACCACCCCCAATGCCATCCCTTCATAACTGAGTCCAGATTCAGTTTTCTCTCCTGTGTGGCACCCTTTTTTTACTATGTGATCAAATTCTGAAATACCAAGAGGTGGTAGGCCAGACTTTGCTCCTGTACTCAGGGCCAACCTTCCATTACTGGTTGAGTTCCTGCAGCCTATGCTATGGTGCGAACTGGGGTCACAGTGCCTGGATACCCACAGCACCACTGACAACCTCACTGAACATGTAGGAGTTAAAATGCCAAGAAACTTGAGTTAGAAACTTGACCTAGGTAAAAATAAAGCTATCTCTATTAAAAATCAAAACAATTTTGGCTGGCACTTCCAACCTACAGAGATCATTTCAGGTCCACATTCTAGCATCAAATAGTGTCATTATTCCTCCAGGCTGGCTTTGCATGGATGACCTGCCAATTTGAGAAGCCAGCTTTTTCTCATCTTTAACTGAGACCTTGAGGACAGTGGGGACAGGGCAGCACCAAGGACAGCATCCTGTGGGTGACTGCAAAGGAAACCCTTTTCAGATTGGCCTAGAGCTGTGGTTCTCAAACTTTCACATGAATCAGAATCATCTAGACAGCTTGCTGAAACTGAGATTGCCAGGCCAAAGCCCTAGGGTTTTCAATTCAGTAGGTCTGGGATGGGTTCCAGAGTTTGCATTTCTGACAAGTTCTTAGGGAATGCTGCTGCTGCTGGTGGTAGTTTGGGATCACACTTTGAGAACCACTGACCTAGAGCCATCAATCAGATTGTTTAGGTCTGGACATTCAGAAGTCCCCCAACTATCCCATCACCGGCTCCACAGTTTTCAGGCTAGTCTCCAAAAGTACAGTGAGAAGCTTGGTCAGATTTCTTTGCTGAAATTTATATATACTAAGCATCAATGAAGCAATAATCACAAATGCTTGTAATAGTGCTTCCAATGGTCAGGCACTATTGCAAGCCCTTTACCTTGTGAGATGTCAGTGAGTTAATACACGTAAGAGCTCCATTTTACAGGTGAGAAAACTGAGGCACAGAGAAGTTACATGACTTTCCGCAAGGTCACACAACTAGATAGTGGGGCAGCCAGGAGTCAAATCCAGGCTGTCTGATTTTTAATCATTACCCCAGTCTGACTCTCAATGTGGCAGACAGGTCCATGGCGGTGAAATGAGCTGGGTAAATTATGAGGGACAATCCTAATGTAAAGGATGAGGAATTCTACATCAACTTACCCCCCAGTCACTTAACCTTACTGATACAATGTTCATTTCTGTAGCTGTTTAGTAAGTGCTGACACTGTTACAGTTCAAGGGTTGGAAAACCAGAACCAACAGGCCAAATCCAGCCCATCATCTGTTTTTTTTCTTAACTTTTTGAGATCGTTCTAGATTTACATGCAGTTGTAAGAAGTAATACAGAGAGATGCCTGGATGAAATGACTGGGAATAATGAAGTCATTTTTCTAATCTCTAATGAAAGTATTTCTAAATAAGGCCTTGCCAAGCTTCAAATATATGCTGAGACAAAAAAGCTGGGTTTGATAATTTTCATTCAAGTATACTTCTGTGGCTGTCCAGGTAGTGGAAGTAAAACACAAAAGGTTTTCCAAATTTGAACACTTTTCAAGTCCAAGAAACGACAGGACCAAAGGATCACAGCTACTTGGCAGACTGATAAGCAGCTTTATCTTATTTTTTTTAGAGACAGGGCCTCACTCTGTTGCCCAGACTGGAGTTCAGTGGTATGATCGTGGCTCATGGCAGCCTTGACCTCCTGGGCTCAAGCGATCCTCCCACCTCAGCCTCCCAAGTAGCTGGGACCACAGGTGCACACACCACCATACCTGGCTATTTTTTTTTTAAGCAGAGATGGGGTTTCACCATGTTGCCCAGGCTAGTCTCAAACTCCTGAGTTCAAAAGATCCTCCTGCTTCAGCCTCCCAAAGTGCTGGAATGACAGGTGTGAGCCACTGCACCCAGCCTGATAGGCAGCTTTATAGCTTTTCTCAAATATCATGACAGAAGAACTGAAGCTGGTTTCTGAACAACTCAGTTGTCCAGCCTTGGGCTTTGGGTGAGAACCATCGTTTGTATTCTAATTTTCTTAGTTACAGAGTCAGGCAGCAGCAAAACGCTGGATACAGTTAGATCTATGGTCCTCAGCAGATTATGTGCACATTAGAATCACCTGGACTTGCTGAGTGCCACTTGCTATCAGTTAATTCTTAGAGGGTGGCAGGATAGGCCTGGGAATGGGTATGTTTCACAGAATCTTCAGGTGATCCTGATGTGTGTCTTGGTCTGAGAAGGACTGATAAGGTGTTTCTCAGAGCGTCCTTTGATGAACTAGACTGAAATCTTTCTTGCTTGGGAAAGTATTTCTTTGGTTGAATGTTGCTGAGATGAAAGTATTCAACGGTGGAAAACAGCCAAGCATTCTTGGAAAGTCATGCAGCATACATGTGCATTTATTTATAGGGTGAACCAGTGGTGAGCCATGGCTTCTATTTGGGATAGGACATGGGAAAGAGATACTAAGTTCAGGACTGCCATATGAGTCCAAACAATAGCCATATTAGGCCCAGAAGGGGCTGAGAATACTCTAGCTCCCACTAATAAATGTGCTGTCTTGTCAGGGTTGTGACTCGTGTCTACCCAGCAATATATAGAGTCATATTCTTACAGGTTAGGGGACTATCAATGTCACTTAGTCCAACCAAGACCCAGCCTAATGCAGCAATCTCTCTATACTCACTGCTTTCCAGATATGTACCCTACCCTGGAGAATCACCTGGGTTTAACTATGAACTCAGCAATTTTTAACCCCTATCTAATTCATCTCCCTCTAAAAACTGCCAGGGCCATTATTCCCTTCAGATAATCCCACTTGCACCCTTTGGGAATGACTCATTATAGGGAGAACCCAAATAAGTGCCCATTCCATTGGCGTTTCTTTTAACAAATTCAGTCTCTGCATGTATAAACATAAGTGGGTTATGTTTGTGGTATGACATGCTAAGGACTAATCACTGGGTGCTGAGCAGTTGCACTGTAAACTTTGGTTCAAGGTCAGCCAGCTGTGTTGCCCACTCCCACAAAGCTGAATCCATAAGTTCTCAGGATGCCACCTCTCTAGAGTCTGGCTACTTATCTTTCTTCCCCATTTCATAAATGCCCAAGCAATATGGTCCTACCCTGTAGCCAGGATCCAGTTTTTGACATGTCACACTAAACACGAACTTTTCATGGTTTCCATCAATTCGCCTATTCCTTGATACATAAAATACAAGAGCTGAACTTGGGCTAAGGCAGCTGTATTAGTTATCTTTGGCTGTGTAACAAATTATTCAAAATTTAAAAGAACAATAAATATTGTCTCACAGTTTCCGTGGATCAGGAATTTAGCATGGCTTAGCTGGGTGGTTCTAGCCTAGGGTCCCTCATGAGGTTGTAGTGAGTTGTTGACTAAGATTGAAGGATCTACTTCCAGGATGGCTCACTCACATCACTGGCTAATTGGTGATGACTGCTATCAGGAGGAGGCCTTGGTGCCTTCCCATGTGGACCCACCCATTGGGCTGCTTGAATGCCCTCACAACATGGCAGTCAACTCTCCCTGGAGTGAGTGATTCAAGAAAAAACAGGGCAGAAGCAGCAAAGTCTTTTATGGCCTAGCCTTGGAATTCATACTTTGTCATTTTTGTAACATGCTACTGATTACACAAGCCAGCCCTATTCTATGTCGAAGGGGACTATACAAGGATATGAATACCAGGAGGCAAGAATCATTGGGAGACATCTTGAAGGCTGCCTACCATAGCCACCTACCCCCTTCATTTTTTAGATGATAAAACCGAGGTCCAAAGAAGTGAGATTCTCAAAGTCACATAGCTGTGACATTTCAGTATTTGCTTTTCTTTCACCCCTCCTGATCCTTACCACCCAGGATTTCTTACATTTATTTAAAACACCAAAAGTTGTTTATCTTTGGGGAGATTAGGAAGATTATTTCCAAATGTGAAGCCAGTTTCTCTGATGCTTCTAACAGAGAAAGCCCTGACAGCACATAAGCACAGTGCATAGTGTGAGCACTGAGGAAAGTCTTTTCTTCATGTCCTTGAGTCATTAGTGGGGAGGGGTTCCAAAAGGAGGGAGAGGAAGGCAGAACCTCTACAGGGAGGCAAATCCAGAAGTGAACTAAAAATCCATTGTTTGAGTGATACATCTTAGCTTTTGCACACTGTTCCCTCTCCTCAGCTTGCTCCCACATTCAATGGTTTTCCTGCTCTTTTGCTTTCTTTCTTTCTTTCTTTCTTTCTTTTCTTCTTCTTCTTCTTTTTTTTTTTGATGGAATCTCACTCTATTGACCAGGCTGGAAAGCAGTGGAACAACCTCTGCTCACTGCAACCGCCCCCTCCCGGGTTCAAGCGAGTCTCATGCCTCAGCCTCCGGAGGAGCTGGGATTACAGGCGTGCGTCACCACATCCGGCTAATTTTTTATTTTTAGTAGAGATGGGGTTTCACCATGTTGGCCATGCTGGTCTCGAACTCCTGGCCTCAGGTGATCTGCCTGCCTTGGATCCCAAAGTGCTGGGATTACAGGCGTGAGCCACTGCGCCCGGCCTCTCTTTTGATTTCTGAGGATCAAACCCAGAACAACAAGAAAAAAGCACAGGATATTACGAACAATCCAACTAACGGGAGGGAAAACTCTCCTCAGGAGTTGGAGTTCCATTAATCTCAGATGAAAGTGAATGAATCCCAAGTAACTTCCTAGGAGAAGCACATAATTTTTTTCTGTGAAAACTTATGTTTCTAAAAACACACACACACTCAGGCCAACATACACACACGTTTTAAAGTGCACAACTCAAAACTGTGCTAAATATTATCAAGTTCCTTTTCAGGATCCTCTTTGAAATAGTCATCTATGAAATGAAACAAAAAGAAAGCAACCTCTTGTATATTCGCTATCCTTTTTCAATCCGTTCAAAAACGACAAGGCTTGTCATGTCTGCTCAGCTTAACTAGTCAGGAGATGACAACTTTCTCCCCGCCTGACCTATTTTGTCTAATGGGGCCCACTCCTCTGCCCTCTGACAAGCTACCTTCTCTCCTCAGTTCCATTTATAGCAGGGCTTTATTTATGGTTAAATCATTAGGAATGGAACTGTCTCCCTCACAAGGCTTATTTCCCCTGTTCAATAAATTAAGCCAGGGGATCCGAGAGACTGCCCATTTCTGCTTTATTTAAGCTCAAATTCCTCACAGCCCAGAAAATACTGCAAATTGCCAGAAGAGAGCTCAGTATGAGTTCCCACTGCTTGCCCAACAGTATGTGGTCACTTGCAGGTTGTCTTGGATTTACTGCTCAAAGTAATGTTTGTGTAACCTGTGGGAATTTTCCTCAGCCCTCGATGGAAGTTTGAGATCTGGAACTGAAATGCTTCAGTGAGGAGCCCCTGGGCCTTTGCTAATGGACAAGGGACTCCCTTCTCAATCCTCAGGCATGAGCCATTGGACAAGTGCTATGATCTTCTCATATGTTTGACCCCTCTTTTCACCTTGAAATAAGGTTTGCAAACTTCATTCATCCACTATGTATTCTTGTTGCTGTCACACAGGTGACCTCGCTGAACAATTGGAGCATTAATGGCCCACAGCTGTCAAAGTGACCTGTGCACTTCACTACTCAAAGCCTTTTCTCACTTGTTTTCAGTTGCCAGAGCCCTGCAATCAGCGGATCTTTCAAAAAATACAAAACCAAACCCCACAAAATGGATCGGGTCACTGCCCTGCTGCATATCCTTCAGCGGCTCCCCATGACCCTTCGGGCCTGTGTTAACTGTCTCAGACTTGGCAGGCTTTTTTCATCTTGCATTTCTGCCTGTGCAGGACATTCCTCGCTCCAATCCTAGTGAACCTCTGCCAGCTGATGGAGGCGCCATGCTGATTCTAGGCCTTTACACATGCTCAGAATATTATTTTTTGATCTTTGTTCCCTCCCGTATTCATTATCTGGCTAACTCCTACCCATCATTCAAGTCTCAGTTAAATACTATTTTTGAAAAACTTTTCTGTTGCCTCTTAAACTGGGCAAAGCATCCATGGCTTCCTGTGTTTGTCCCAGGATAGCAGCACCCATCACAATGGAGGACTGGATTGCCATTGTTTATTCTGTCTGATTTTCCTTCTAGATCTTAAGTTCCATGAAGGGGGATAACTTGTCTGACTTGTCCACTAGTGTATCCACAGTGCCTAATACATTTTCTAGCATATAATGTAGGCCATATAAAACTAGGAATTCTGCTTTCCACTTTTAAGACCATTTAAGCATATTTAAGCACAGAGCTGTGTCCAAAAGAAACATACATTGATTTCTAAAAATGGCCCCTGTATTAGTCTGTTCTTACGCTGTTAATAAAGACATATTTGAGACTGGGTAATTTATAAAGGAAAGAGGTTTGACTCACAGTTCAGCATGGCTGGGATGGCCTCAGGAAACTTTCAATTATGGTGGAAGGGCAAGCAAACACATCCTTCTTCACATGATGCAGGAAGGAGAAGTGTCAAGCAAAAGGGGGAAAAGCCCCTTATAAAACTATCAGATCTCATGAGAACTCACTCTCACGAGAACAGCATGAGGATAACCATTCCCATGATTAAATTACCTCCCACCAGGTCCCTCCCACGACATGTGGGGATTATGGGAACTACAATTCAAGATGAGATTTGGGTGGGGGCACAGCCAAACCATATCAGCCCCCAGAAGGAATGTAAATCTTCACCTAAGAAAGATTTATATTGTAAACAGGTACAGCGTACACTCTTTTGGTGATGGTTACACTAAAAGCACAGACTTCACTTCTATGCAATGTATCCATGTGACAAAACTGCATTTGTACTCCTTAAATTTATACAAATAAAATAAAAAAGAAAAAAAGATTTACATTGTAAAACACAGTAAAACTACCTAAAAATCTTCTCATTGGCCCAAGATTCCCTCATCCTAGAGACGTTTTACCTCAAATCTCTCTTCTTTCTTTCCAAGAAATCCTATTTTCCACTGAGTCCCCAAGCCCCTTTTCCATGTAATTTAGACTCAGTTCACTTTTTTCAGTTCCCTCTCTGCATATTTAGATCTCCCCGACCATCAGCACCACAAAGAGCTTGAAGCCAAGATGACAAAGATTGAATCTTGTTTGGAAGATAGAAAAGGAGGAAGGGATGTTTTAATTTATAAGCTTTTTGTGGATCTTTGTCCCTGAATAATAGTAATAGTATATGTTGACTATGTCAGAGGCACTCTGCTAAATGCTTTACCATGTTATCCTCCCAACCACCCTGTGAATTTGACAATATTATTTCCCTATCCTTAGGAACACTGGGGTTCACGTTGTTGGGTAAGTTGCCCAAGGTAGCATAAGTGGAAAGCAGGAAAGCTGGGTTTGAAGGCAGAGTGGGCTGTGAAAATGTCTCCACAGTGGACACTCAGGAAACATTTGTTGATTGCAGAGACAGGGTCCCACCTTGGAACCAGCCTGGAGACTGGCAAGGCAAAGGGTGTAAAAGCAATTTCTCTGATGAATTGATTGGAAACACATGTCAAAGCTTTATTTCAAAGTTGCTTAAAGAGGCTTCAAAAATCCAGTTCTAAAACTTGGAATAGGAAAACATGTGGTTAGATAACACTGTGAGACGAGGTATAAGTGATCAGTAAACTCTGTTACAAGGTGACTTTAGTGAGGCAGGTATATCAGATCTCCCAGAAGGGGCTCTTAATCTCATTGAAGTTGATTAGAAAATTACTAATATGTTTTATCAGCAATACTTCCCAGAAGGGACCACTTAACACACCAGTGCACAAAGCTCTGTTCTAGCTCAGGTTTGAGATCATTTTCTTTCATCAGAAACAGCTGTCTCTAAACCAGCATTTGTTTTTTTCCACCTCAGCACTATTGACAATTGGGCCAGGCAACTCTGTTACTGGGGCCGTTCTGGGCATTCTAGGATAGTTAGCAGCATCCCTGGCCTCTACTCACCAAATGCCAGTAGTACCCTCTCCTTCCTGATTGTAATAACCAAAAAATGTCTTCACATAGTGCCAAATGCCCACCACGGGGTGGGGGGCAAAAATCATTCTCTCCCTCTATTGAAAACTACTAGTTTAGAAACTTCATTTTCAAGTGGTCCATGGACCAATAGCAACAGCATCCCCTGGGTAGTTACTAGATATATGTGGTCTCAGGCCTCTCCCCAGACCTCCTGAGTCAGAATCTGCAGTTTAACAGGATCCCCAGGGATTCATATGGATGTTAAATACTGAGAAGCCCTCCTAGGCTGTGGTTCTCAATCTTGTCTGCACATCAGAGACCTGGGGAGCTTTACAAATTACTGATCGCACTTCCAGAGACTCTGATGTAATTGGTTTGGGGCAGCCTGGGCTTTGGGATGGTTAAAAAAACTCCCTCCAGGAGATTTAATGTGCAGCCACGTTTGAACACCCATTCTAGGTGGTTTAACCCCCCACCAGCGCGCGAGCGCGCGCGCGTGCGCGCACACACACACACACACACACACACACACACACACACACACAGAGCAGAGTGAGTTACAACAGCCTATAAACAAGATCTCAAATCTCCAAATCAATTATGCTTTCTTCCTTTCCATAAACATCCTTCTTTATTTGACCTCTTATCTCTTTTAACATTATAAAATTAAATCATTTGATGATAGCTTCAAAAGGTAAGATTTGGATATAAGTAGCTTTTAAAATAATAGTTGGAATGATTTAGAGGAAAAAATGAAGGCATTGATTTAAACTTCCCCCGGCAGCTTTTTAAAGAAGAGCCATCAAAATCATCCCTCAAATTCTCAATAATTAAAAAAAAGGTACTTGAAAAAACAAACAAACAAACATTAAATAGCAAACTCTATCAAGAAAATTGTTTTGCATGAAATGTATAATTATGTAAAGAGCCCATGTAAATTGGAAAGCAAAATGCTAACACCTTAATAGACAAAGGAAATGAACTCACAATTCACAAAAGTGGATGTATAATTGGTAGAGAAGCCTAAGAAAATATGCAGCTTCAGTAGAAATCAAAGGAATGTTCAAGAAAACAGTTACTGATTTTCGTTTAAGAAAATCCACAAAGATGAATAGGAAAGTGATCGTGAAAAAGACATATGCACAATCTCAAAAAATATTAAGTATCTTCTGTATAGCAGGCACACAGCAGTATAAATGATGAGGGTGGGGGGGTTAATAAATGGAGAAATTCCCAGTCACTGTGGATTTGTATCTCTTCCAACCCAGTTGTGTCTTGATGGAAGTCCATTCTAAAGAAAATGTTCACATGGAAAAGGTTGTGTTCATTTATGGTAGCAAAATTGATTAAGAACCTAAATGTCCAATAATAGGATTCCAATTAAGCAAACTCTGGTGCAGCCACCTGATGAAATACTATGGATACTATTTGTGATATAATGAATGATAAATAATTTATACAGTATAAAACTGGAAAAATGCTTCAATGATTGAGTAAATTTTGAAAATGATACAATGGTCCTGGTCCCCACACCTAACACACACACTATATATTTGTATATTTAAAGTTCCAAGGAGCCCTTAAACTAAGAAGGTGGTTTATCTTTGCTTAACCCAGTATTTCTCAACTTATCTCATGATTGATGGTTTCCTTTTCCCCCCTTTTCCTCTCCCTTTCTTTTCAAAGGAAAACTTGTTTTATTATCTCTTGAAACTAGTATTTCTCAAATGAACAAAACCCTGTGGATTTGTTGGTTTATACAGTAGTATTTAAGAGCTATGTAAAAATAAAGGCCTTACATGGATATATACATGGTAAAAAAATTCATCAAGTTCACTTAAGATTTGTGCATTTTACTCTATATAAAGTATTTTTAGAAACACTGCTAGATTCTGAGAAGGCAAGACATATTTTTAAGTGAAATTTTGGTGTTCATTAGAACAAATGCATGAATATTTGTTAAGTAAACTTTTTGGTACACTACAGGTATATTTCTGTGTATCAGTTGTTAATGTGTGCCTCTAATGTACTGTCAATGTGTACAGATTACTTATTGATATGGTTTGGTTGTGTCCCTACCCAAATCTTGAATTGTAGCTCCCATAATTCACATGTGTCATGGGAGGGACCCAGTGGGAGATAATCGAATCATGGGGGCGGGTCTTTCTCATGTTGTTCTCGTGATAGTGAATAAGTCTCATGAGATCTCATGGTTTGATAAAGGGGAGTTCCCCTGCACATGCTCTCTCTTGCTTGCTTGATGCCATGTAAGACATGACTTTGCTCCTCCTTTGCCTTCCACCATGATTGTGAGGCCTCCCCAGCCATGTGGAACTGTGAGTCCATCAAACCTCTTTTTCTTTATAAATTACACAGTCTTGAGTATGTCTTTATTAGCAGTGTGAGAACAGACTAATACATGTATGCTAATTTTACAAGTTTTGCAAAAGAATTTAGTGTAGCAGAAAGAGCTCCAAACCTCATCCTGGATCAGCCGATAGCTAGCTGTGTGATCCTGGACAAGTGACTCAACCCCTCTGGATCTGAATTTCCTAATTTCTAAAATGAGGAGCAATACCAAAACTCTAGTTCCATTCGTCTTTGAAAAAGTTTTACTATTTTAAAAGATTATAAAGCCTTATAGTCATATCTTTGCCTCATAATACATCAAAGGCCATCCTTTTATCTGACTACTGAGTCTTTGGACCACTCATTACCATCATTGTGACTGTGAAAACAATCAATCAATCAGCTTTAAGGTGATCACTATGACAATGTGCTTTCCAGGTATGCATTATGGGAAGAAGGCAGGGAGGCCTACATTTGTTTCACATGTTCTGTTAGTTAAATGCCAAAAAAATTAGTTTTCCATTTGGTTGCTCCAGAACCCCTGGCTGCCACAGATCATTGCTGGACAGTTGTAGGAGGATTCTTGGTACTTCTGATACAATCACCATTGTCTCTATGCCTTGAATGCCAAGGCATAAACAATATAGAAAGATGTTGTCATCTTTGGAAAAGCTGAGAACCTCTTGGTTAAGACAGCAGTCTCCTTGACTTATTTATCACTTTGTCTACTTCTAGATGTTATTGAACTCTGCCTTGGTAGGGAAATCTTGGGTCAATATTTCTCCAATGAAGTCGGTGGCCCCTTTAGAGACAGGGAGGACTGGGTTCTGATGGATGAAGAGAAATTTCCCACAAAATCTGGAGCTGCCTGTGGTGACTGGTCTTTGATGATGCCCCTTTCCCCACCAAGATCTCACCAAACAAATGTATCTCAGTTGCCAGCCCCTAACTCTGAGTTGATATCCAATATAACAAACTCTCAATACAATAGGATTAATAAAAAATATTTTAATGAGATTCAACCTGGATATGCAATTTGCCTTTTCCTTATGGTCACTCGAATTATCCCGGTCCTGCACTTAACGCTACTTTAATCTGGATTTCAGGTGCAGGATTTGACCAAGGCAAATGTTCTGGTCTTTATGTCTTCCTCTTCTTCCGTTTTTATATAATTATTGTTAGAAGGATTTCAATTTTCATTTTAACCACCGAAGGCTTCATGAGTTGCAAAGGCAACTTTGGTGGATGTTTCACAATTTAGGAAAAAATGTTCCTAATTTTTACTTAGAGTTTTGTTTCTCTGACTTTACAAGTATCTGTTTGGGAAAAAAGAAAGAGTTTTGGGTTTGGAGTTGTTTGGGTGCAATTCTAGGCTGAGCGCCTCTCTGAGCTTGGGTGTGTGTTGTTCCTTACAAGCCTTAGTTGTAGCTTGCACCACCTTCCTTAGGGTGTGGTCCTGATGAGTAAAAGGGACAATATGTGTGAATGTGCTCTGTAAACTCTAGAAGACTTTACAAATGCCAGGCGTTTGTCTTATTTCTGATGCCCTCTAAGGAACTCCAGAGCTTTAACCAGTTTGCTCTGGGTGCATGGTTGGCCATTGCATATGGAACCAGACCATGAGCCACTGCCTTCTCTCAAGTACTTTCGAGTGTCACTGTGTTTATGGCTCTATGATTTAGCACCACATAGGAGGAAGTAATCATTGCACTGCCCCTGAGTGTCTGGTTAAAGGACAAAATGCAGACAAGTGTTGAGTGGACTCCATTTCCCACATGATGTAAGTGGGGCCACGGCAACTATGAGTTACACAGCTATAAATGGGTCACAGCAAGGCGTAAACATCACATGTTCCTCAGTCTGGACTTAGGGTGACACAAGGGAGATATTTGGTGTATCATCCCCACACCAGCCAAGATGTGCCCTTCCCAAATGTAAACTAGAGGTTTTGCTTCCATGTCATTTTTGGTCTGGGTATAAAAGTTACGTGGGGTAGCTAGAGAATGACTTTTCAGCTGGTTGCCATACCTTCCCCATCATTCTCACAAATGTCCCCATACAGGAGAACAGGGCACAGGAGAATAGCTGACAGCTGTTGTCTAGGCAGCAAAGCAGCGTGGCCCTGGAGACAGCCCAATACACTTGCATTCCAACACCCTGACAAACAAGAGTGCTTTACAGAGTGGGCAATTTTAGCTCTGGATCCCTTCCCATTGTTTCTCATTTCTAAATTCAAGCCCTGACACAGAGCAGGGAGCTCAGGTATCTGGATTCCCGAATTTTTGTATTCTGGTATCATGCCAGCATCCCGAGCACATGCTGAGTCCCACAAAGCCAAGGATGGAGACTCTGGCCGTCTGGGGACTTTGTACTCTGGGATGGACTATATCTGACGTTATCCATCAGTGCATTCCTGTTTCCAGGCATGTTGGGCCTTCTTGAATTCTACCGGGACCCGGGAGTGGGGGAAGCTGAGGGACAGGGTGATCTGCAGGAGGACACCTGCAATGGCTCCTGCTTCATCTGCCACCTCATGCCTGGCTCCTTCTGCAAAGAAGAATCAGGTTTATTTTGTAGGCTGAACAAGGTAGCTGTGTAATCAGTTGGTGGAGTTCCTGGCACGTAGTAGGTGCTCAAAACTGGTACTGCCACCATCAGCTGTTTCTCCACTCCCACATGAGCACAGGTTGATAGCACTGGCCCAGCTTCCCCCTCTTCACAGTTGTATTCAGGCCTCCCTTGGCTCTCAGCTGCAGTAAGTAAAGAGGAAGAGCACAGTTCCCCTGGGGCTAATGTTATGTTAAGAATTCCATGCATTTATTTTCCTAAATATGGTCATCTCACAGTGGTCGTGGTGGTCTGGGAAAACTGGATCAAGATTTCTCTGTTTTTAAAAAAAATTTTATTTTCATAGCTTTTGGGGTACAAGTGGATTTTTTGTAACACAGATGAATTGTATAGTGATGAATTCTGAGATTTTAGTGCCCCCGTCACCTGAGTAGTGTCCATTGTACCTAATATGTTGTTTTTATCCCTAGCTCCTCTCCCACCCTTCCCCTTCTGAGGCTCTAAAGTCCATTATATCACTCTGTATACCTTTGCATACTCATAGTTTAGCTTCACTTATGAGAACATACAATTTTTTGTTTTCCACTCCTGTGTTACTTCACTTAGAATAATGACCTTCAGCTCCATCCAAGTTGCTGCAAAAGACATTATTTCATTCCTTTTTATAGATGAGTAGTATTTCATGGGGTATATATACCACATTTTCTTTATCCATTCATTAGTTCTCTATGTTTATAAAACTGTCTCAAAGTCAGAGAGGCCTATAAGCTGAACCCAGTCGTGAAGGACATCTTATGACTCTCCAATGCAAATGGCTCATCCTATGTTTCTCAGTATAGCCATAATTTCACCTATCTATCTGGGACAGATAAAGGATTATCAGAGTCCATATCAAGTCTGCCATATAAATGGTACCCATTTCTGGGTTGCAGATGGTGCTTCTCAGTCTGGACACATCTTGGAGAGAAATCACACCTCATAAAACATGCTTCAGTTACAATTTCCTATGGATCATCACCCATTCCATGCTGCTCAGAGAAGCCCAAGGAATACCTCAGCTTCAAGGGAAGCTTGTCATGGGCCTCTTACTTAGCCAGAGAGACTGGCCATATGTCATCCAGCACAGTGACCATAGCAGTAAAGTGGCTACAGCATACCCTGGCCATCATGGGGCTAGAGCTGGGACCTAGGGCAGAATTGGCAGCATAGTGGAGACATAGCACATCAACCCAACACTCCTGGATTTCTGCATCTATGAGCCTTCACTCATTACTGCTGACTCACATTGAAGAATGTGGGTTTGGCTATAACTGCAACTCCAGTTCTTTTCCTATTTTCATTTCTCCAGTAGTCCAACTCATCAATCACTGGACCCCTGCTATGTGTCAGGTGCCATGATAGGCAATGGGATGTAAAAATGAATAGGACATATTTATATCCTTAAAAGATCCTAGCCTAGTGGCAGGGCAGCTATAGTGGGAAACATGAGGAGTGAGATGATGCATATAAGCAAATAATCACAATTCAGCATGTTACATGGAGAATCATGGGGAGGTTGGATTTAAAAGTTATAACCAAAGAGGCGAGGCCCAAAGGCTCTTGTCATTACAGGAGCAAAAAGTGGTCTAGTGAACTCAGAATATAGGATACTTGAGGGAGAATGACCAGAGATGAGCCTGGATCCTGATACCCCAGGATGAAGCTGTGAAATTGCTGGTCACTCAGAAACCATGGGCTGGGAAGGAAGTGGTATCTTACTTCCACTTTGTGACTGGCATGGACTGAAAATTGATAATTTCTTAAAAAAATTAGTAAACAACCTAAACGTCCATTGGTAGATGTATGAATAAAGAAAATGTGGTAACACACACACTGGAATTTTTATCCTGGAATAAGAAGGAAACTCTGCAATATGTGACAACATGGATAAACTTTGAGGACAGTATGCAAAGTAAAATAAGTCAGTCACACAAGGACAAATACTGCATGATTCCACTTATATGAGGTGGCTAAAGTAGTTAAACACATAGAATCAAAGAGTGAAGTGGTAGTTGTACAACATTGCTGTACAACATTGTACTTATGGTCAACAATAATGTATTATACACTTAAAATGTATTAAGAGAGTAAATCTCATATTGTGTTCTTTTGATAATAAGATAAAATGCTGGGGAAATACAAGAACCTATGCTGACTGCTCTTGATAGCATTTTCAGTTTTGCAATCATTAATAACTTCCTACCTTTTCCTCTGGTTCACAAACCATCCATACCTTGTTAGTGGAGTAGAAACAGCCCTAAAGTCGGGACACCTCTGTTAAAATCCCAGCTTTTCTATCTACCAGCTATGAGACTTTGAGCTAGCTACTTTGATTTTTGAACTTCTATGTATTTCATCTCAACAGTGAGTACAACACAACCTGCATCACAGCAATGCTAGAAATGTTCAATGACACTATGGGCTTTGTGATCTCTAAAGAAATATACAAGAAAGAGAAGCTTTCTTATAGAGAGATCTCTGCTATATACTTCTCTGGATTCAATGGCCAGAACTGGGTCCCATGGCTCCCCCTAGCTGTAAGAGAGACTGAGAAATAGAGTATATTATTTCACTCACCAGCCTTTGTAGTAGAGAAAAACAAGGGTTATGGAGGGTGCCAAACCAGAGTTTCTGCCCCAGCAGGGGGAATATCCTTGTGTATGTAGTTTTCTTTCTCCAGCCATTGGCAATACAAAAGGTGAGCATTCCATTTTTAAGAAAAGATTCAGCTCACTCACATAAGTAAAACACACAAGGAATGACACCAAAGACTAATGGAAAACAAATGTGTAAATAGTGTTCAAGAATCCCTGCATTACAAGAGCTTTGAAAAGAAGTGGCACCATATCAATTAGCTATTGCTGCATACCAAATCACACCCCAAATTCAATGTTTAAAACAAGATCATTTCTTATTCTAACTCATGTGTTTTGGCCTCAGCTGATATAGGTTGGGCTCAGCTGATCTTGGCTGGACTCACTGATGTGTCTGCAGGTCATCTGGGGGCTCTGCTCTACATGGGGCCTGGTTAGGGTGCTTTAGCGGGGGTGGCCCTGCTCCACATATTTCTTGTCCTTCTTCTGGGATCAGAAGGCTAACCTGGCCACACCCTTGTTATGGCAACAGCAGAAATACAAGAGTAAGCAAAAACGTGATACCTTTTGAGGCATAGGCTCAAAACTGGTACACCATCATTTCTGCCTCATTCTGTTGGCCAAAGCAAGATGTGTGGCCAAACTCAGGCATGAGGAATTATACCCCACCCACAGTGGTAGAAAACTACAAAGTTACATGGTAGTAGGGAGAGGTGAAGAACAGGAGCCATGAATGCAAATTTACCTCAGGGATCACTGGTCATACAAGCCATAATCATAAGACTAACAATATACTCTAATCCTTCAGGAGAAGCTATCTTAATTTAGTTTAGAATTACTTAAATCACTAGAGCCAAAGTTGATGGCCACAGCATCTACCCATAGTTCATTTACATTCATGGAATTGAGAGATGAAGTTTTCAAGTGAAAATGGGGTCTTCAATGTTGACTTATTCCTATCATATTGATTTATAAGCTGTCCCTAACATATCTCATGAAAATTATACTAATGATGAACCTGGAGGACATTATGCTAAGTCAAATAAGACAGTCATAGACAAATATGGCATGATCTTACTTATATGTGGCATCTAAAAACATTAAACTCATAGAGGCAGAGAGTCAAATGGTGGTTGCCAGGGGCTTGGGGTGGGGGGTGATGTGGATGGGGCGATGATGGTTAAAGAATAGACCGAATTTCAGATACATAAGAGGAATATATTCTGGAGATCTCGTATTAGTCCGTTCTCGTGCTGCTATGAAGAAATGTCTGAGACTGGGTAACTTATAAAGGAAAGAGTTTTAATTGACTCACAATTCTGCAGGGCTGGGAAGGCCTCAGAAACTTACAATCATGGCAGAAGGGGAAGCAAACACGTCCTTCTTTACATGGCAGCAGCAAAGAGAAGTGCAGAGCAAAACGGGGGAAAGCCATTATAAAATCATGAGATCTCATGAGAACTCACTCACTATCATGAGAATAGTATGGGGGGAACCGCCCTCGTGATGAAATTATCTCCATCTGGCCCCACCCTTGACATGTGGGGATTATTACAATTCAAGATGAGATTTTGGATGGGGACACAGCCAAACCATATCGGATCTATTGTACAGCATCATGACTACAGTTAATAATGTATCCTTGAAAATTGCTAAGAGATCTTAAATGTCCTCATCACAAAAATAAGTATGTGAGGTGATGGATATGCTAATTATGTTGACTTAATCATTTCACAATGTATGTATGCATATATCAAAACATTGCATTGTATACTGTAAATATATACCATTTTTATTTGTCAATTATGCCTTAATGACACTGGAGGCAAAAAACTCATGGTTCCTTTGGTTTTTCTTTTTCAGGATTGATGTGAAGAAATAAAGAGGCAGAAGATGGATTCAATAGCTCACTAAAATTTTATATATTTGTATGATGATTGTGAACCTCCTGAATGCCTGAGACTCTAGCAGAAATGGCCTGTTTGTACATTTATATCTCTTCCTTCTAGTTGGCTGTATTTCTTACTTTATCTTCATTTTTGGCACCTCACAGAACAAATTAGCCCATAAATTCAACACCTGGAGGGTGTGGTTTTGAGGAGGGATATGATTTTATGGAGAATGATATGGCAATGTGCCTAACGATTTTGATGAAAAGTTTCCCAAGCTACTTCCTACAGTATTTTGGTCAATATTTGGAATGCGTTTTAGTTCTTCACCTTTTAAATTATGTCACTAAACTTTGTATGAGTTCAAATAAATATTTGACTAAATGTAAAATGTGAATCTAGACTAAATTAATTTTTATATTTCAGATAGCTACATATCCCCAAACCTGGAGAGAAATGAGATATGAGTCAGCTGAAACCCATATTGCCTAAGTGGGGGCCTCTCATTCTGAATTATTGAGTACCATGGGTAAAATCATGGCTGACTGATCACTCATATGAAGTTAAATATCACCTGAGGAATTGGATATCATTGATATTCTTCCTCCAAGGATGAGGAGTTTTACAGTGAGTGCATTTTACATCTACAGAGGCCAGATGGAATACAGTTCATTATAAGTTAGAAACTCCCCTCACCCAGATGGAATAGAGTTCATTATAAGGCACAATGAAGTAAAGCTGAGCAAACAGAACAAGAGAGGAGAAGAGCCATCCAAAGATGAAACATGTCTCCTGCTGCTAAAATGGAGAGTCTCTATGTCAACTGAATCAATGTCCAACACTATCATAGACCAAACAGAATCACCTGGGCTCCTCTAGCATCTTATGATCTTCTGAAAGGCTCGGGCAACTTCACAGTGTGAAGATTTGAGGGACAAGGTTATCAAGAGCACACTGTTTGAAAAGCAAGCATGTCACTTACCTGGTATGCAGAGACCTCACATCGTTTCTCGGGCTGAGTGACTTTGATCCTTGCTTCAGAGCCAACCATTGTAAAAAATCAGATGTACTTTGAAATATCCCAAGTGTAAATTACTCTCCCGCTTTTCTGTTTCATAGAGATCAGCTTCCAAAAGCAGGGCTATCATTGCCTACACCTGTGACTGGCCACAGAGTCAGCAGTGCCTGATGAGTTTAAGTTTTCCCGAAAAGGTGCCTGTCTGGTCATAGGTCCCACGTGTTTCACCAGACTATGATTTATCTGGTCATCTACATCTAATATATACATATGGCATGGGGAATATCAATCAGAACAAAATATGCCAGCCTAATAATCTGTCAGCAGACGAGGTAAACAGGTCCTAAATAGGCGCTAGATTGCCTCAGACTGTCTCACTCTATACTGATTAGAGTAGTTGGGTGGGGTTACCAAATTTGCTTCAGTGTTCACTTTGTTTTAATGTAAATTATCTATGTTCAGTTTCAAAATTAAGTTCTGATATAATGTTATAAAAATTGTCTTCAAATTTTAATGTCTTCCAAGGCAAATTTGCAGCACAATACATACCAAAGTCATTAGACAAATTCAATGGATGTTTTGAATTTTAAATTTAATATGTATTATATTTTGTTGAGGCTCAAATTCACTATATATAGGATTTAGGAACTTCCACATTCTATCATTCATTAGATAGCACATATAGTATAATATAGGAAAAGACAGAGTCTTTGCTTTCAATGAAGTTATAATTTTTAAAATTCACACATTACATGCTAAGTGGCTCTTTAAAAACCCATATGTCTCACGGAAACAGCCTTATTTATCTTATAGGTTTATAAACAACCAATTATTATGCAACTTTTCCATGAAGGAGAAACAAAGTACAAATAGATGAAGATTCGTTAGGAGAGAAACAACTCTGGTGTGAATAAGCATAAGGTACCATACCCAGTTTTTAGTGTGCACACTGTAAATAGTATGATAATCATACTCTACTACAAGGAGAGTGTCTTTGAGTGCAATACAACTTTCACTCCACCCACATTTCCTGGATGCCTACTATGTGTCAGTCTATAGGCTAAGTGCTGGGGGAACACAGAACACATTCATCCAGAAAATCACCTTGCTTAAAAAAAAAAAGACAACCCATACCTCTCTGTTCCCCCTCCCCCATGTATGGGATTTTCCTATGTTGTGCTTGAGGCATGAGTGAAAGAAGGCCCCTCTGGGTCCAGGACCTGCGGGACACTTGGAAAGCTTCTCTGTTTGGAGCAGAAGCCATTAGGAACACATAAGCCTCTCTAGAATTATCTCAAGCACTCATTTTGTATGATCTTTACATTTCAACAGCACAGACTGAAAGGTAATTAGCTTTGTTTCCAAGGTTACTTACTGAATAGCTGAATGACACAGTAGTTTTCTAAGTTAGGCCCAGGGCATGGGAGATGATAATTACCCAAATGAATCCCTCATTTTTAACTAGAGCAGTTAGAGGATTTACAAAAAGTCTCCCATTATGATCAGGCCCATGTAAGGAACACTACTAATTTTAATGTGCCATCCTGCGAAATCCCTCTTCTACATTCTTGAGCTGACCTAGAATTAGGGTTCCCCCTTTGGCAATGAGAACAGGGCTCATTTGGATTCAAGGACTGTGGGTTGATCAATTAAAATTAGTTCCTTCTGAGGGCCTCTGGCATTATCCCATTGCTTTGCAATCTAGCTTGAAATAGAAACTGCATTTAACTTGATAATTGATGCTGTCTTGGGATTTTAACCTGCTGCTGAATGTATGCATCTGTGGCCCATGGCTAGTTCTTTGCCTCACATACCATTAATTACATTTCTGTGCTTTTCCAAAGGAGAGGATATATTATCATAATGTTCATATGCAATCATGTATTCATTCAGCAAGCCATACAAAGAGCACTCACGAAGAGAGGAAGCAACCCACCAGGATGTTGCCAGGCTAAGAAAATCCTTAGCGGTCATGTATTGAGCTCATTTTTTTTCTCTACACAAATGACCAAACTTGTTTAGCTCTTACACTGAAGGCAAATCACACAAAGTCAAAAAAATATATATGCCGATTATTAAAAGAGGGGATTCAGCCATAAAATAAGATTGCAGCCTTAACATCATCACCTAAAGGTGTTCTTCAGAGAAAGAAAAGCAACCTCAATTAAGCAATCATTTTCAGATTGTGGAATGTGCTTGGCCTCACATCCTTCACCCCTGTGCTTGTTTATTAAAGGAGGAAAATCAATCCCTTAACATTTGACTTCTGAGCAAAACAATTCAGTGACACCACCGACTAGGAGAAACCACACTATCAAATAACAAGGCTCTTTTTTATGACCAGCTCTTTCCCTGGTTCAGTGAGGATATATTACAGTGCAGATTCCAGAGGGAAGAAGGCTTTCCCCTTGGGCTTCAAATGTCTGCAGATTAGCTGCAAAGCCAAAGCAGGTCTGCACTCTCAAATTGAATTTTTCAAATCTGATTGTTTGTTGGGAGGGCCATGGTTAGAGGAGGTGTGCCGACAGGTTTTACTCCAGTGTTGGGATAGCTCATGTCTCTAGACATACAGAATGGGGGTCTAGACTTCTCGGGAAACTATTCCTGCTGCTTAATATTGTTCACGCATTGATGGTGCACTAGAAAAGACAGGATCCTGAAGGAATTTCTTTTCTGAAGTATTTGGAACACACCAACATCCAATCCACCCACGCAATCCATGCTGCTTTATAGCTGATGGCAAGGTTTAGGAAAAACAAAAACAAAAACAAAAAACAGGGAAGGCTTTGTTCTTGATTTATGATTTTGTTTTGCTTTGTTTCATACTGTGTCTTTTGGCCCTGACAACACACAGATTCTTGATCTCAGGCAATCCTTACCCTCCTCACTCTGATGGAGGTGAGTTTTCCTGCATTCAGTGGGAGAAGAGGAGCATCAGAAGAAGCCAAAGGAGACATCTCAACTTGTAGAAGGCCAGACACCCATGAGGGCATGGGATTTCTGCTTAGTATTGGAAATTAGGCCTTCGCTTAGCATTCTAAAATCATCTGGTGGATCCAACTTTGTTATAATTTCCTTAAAATGGCATGTTGCATTTATTTAAATTTGCAGATGAGGAAACAGGAGATAGCATAGCTGCCTCCAGTGATATAATAATAGTGCATGGACCAAGACTCCTTAATTTTTTTTTTTTCAGATGGAGTCTCACTCTGTCACCCAGGCTCCTAGGCTGGAGTGCAGTGGTGTGATCTCGGCTCACTGAAACCTCTGCCTCCCGGGTTCAAGTAATTCTTGTGCCTCAGCCTCCTGAGTAGCTAGGACTACAGGCACGCACCAGCACGCCCAGCTAATTTTTGTAATTTTAGTAGAGACAGAGTTTCCCCACATTAGCCAGGTTGGTCTCAAACTCCTGACCTCAAGTGATCCACCCGCCTCGACCTCCCAAAGTGCTGGGATTATAGGCGTCAGCCACTGTGCCTGGCCAAGGCTCTTTAAATCTTGAAAAAACAAACAAACAAAAACTCCAAACTTTTCTTTTTCCCAAATTTTGAATTCATTGCTAGGCATCATGGTTGTGATAGTGATGGCCCAGGAGCAGGAGGGTAGGAGCTCTATTTGGAATCCAGGAAAATCACACACATAGGGTAGGGAATTCAGAAGGAAGAATTAACCAGGAGAAATGACCCTTCAAAAGACACCATTGGACTCCAAACTCTGTAGTTAGATCCTGGTCTACTGCAAGGACCCCAACCAATACACCCAACATTTTGGTCCTACTTTGCTTATTGCTTGCTTATTTCCCCAGACTTTTATTGACACATTTTCTTTCCTAGCCTGGGAGGGGAGCCACCCCCTCTCTGTTGTGTGGCATTAATTTCCTCGGAGAGCATGCTTTCACCAGAGGATTTACCAATATCTGTCACCCTGGAATCATTGGTTCTACTTGGCCCTGCATATACACAATAATGTCTATTGCTGGCTAGAAAATAAACCGTGGGAACTGGCATGTTTTTCAATGAGAGGTCATTGAGAACAGCACTGGCAATGGCCTGTTGTATCCCCCAGACCTTTCTTTTAGAGGCCAAACTGAGGCAATGATCTTTAACAGATGCACCATTAGGCAAGACCTACATCTGAAAGCTTTGTTGATTCAGACACTCAGTAATTAAGTTGTGGGCCAGTGAGCACATTATCTGCAATGAAACATGTCCCTGATCATCGATTAGATGGGTAAACATGTGACCTCATTGTCTCCACTGAAGGATGATTATGTAATAGTCTCTGGTCCTCAAACATCATGGTTATTTGCCAAATTTTGATCCCGGTAAATAAGCTGAAATCACTTGCTATGGTCTGAAAATCAGATTTTTAGGACAACAGACTCTTCCTCGGGGGGCCTGATGCATTCTATCTGATTACAGATGTGCTGGGAACTTTACAGATGCCCAAATACGAGGTGGATGGGTCATAGGGAGGTGGGAGCTGTGAAGAATGACTCAGGGGCAGTCTGGTGTCACAAGACTTTACCAAAACAAAGACATGTAAAAGATCATCTGTTTTTTAAGCTTCAGAGCTTGCTTGCTGCTTAAGACATAGTAAAGAGGAAGACATGTAGGAGGGCGAGGGGGGAAAAAAGGGAGGGAGAGAAACAGAATGACAGAAAGAGAGAAGGGAGAGTGATTTACTCCTAGAGCCCTTTGGTGGGTCACCGAAGGTTTGGTGGCTTCTTTGCAGTCTAGCTGAGCAGAGGAAATCTATCTGCTTCATGCACAATCAAACACTCATCATCTATTTTCTTCTGATGTGTAAGGAGTACATGCGGGAACTTCCAAGTACAGCAAGGACTAGAAGAGAATCTGGTGGCTTGGGGTGACCCGAGACATCTAAATGTCACATAGTCTTGATGCACATGTGATCTGGAACTGCCCTGGGATGACTCGGGCACCAGCCCTTCCTTAATCCCCATTTGCTCTCCTTCCTCTAATGACATGAGCATAGCCACAGCCCTCCTGCCTGCTTGCAGCTTCTTATGGGCCAGAGCTTGGTCTCTCGCTCAGACTGATCTGCATTTTAACCTTGGCTGCCATATTAGAAAGAGCAATAATCACTTTAAATGGTTGCATGTGTTTTCAAAACTAAACCCGCGGCAAAATCAATAGGCCATGAGCCCTGATGCAGCGCACGGCCATGTGCCATTGGAGGAAAGGATACTGCACTTTCCTTTGCCCAGACACTTCCAAAATAGTCTACTGGAGTTTTGATAAGCATTTTTGAGGGCTACATTGAGGACTATACTTGATGAGTATATGGAGGACTATTTTATATAAAAAAAGACCAACAATGATTTAAAAATTAATCTATACTACATAGTGATTGAAGTCATGATTCAAACCATTTTGACTTAATTTCAATATCTTCCATAATCCAGATTTCTCTATCTAAATCAGAAGTTATGATTCAGGCCAAAGTCCAGGGTAGTTAGCACATCAATAAGCTTTTCTTTTCTTTTTGGCTTCTGTCGTAGTTTGCTTTCCCCAGTACCAGACTCTGAGATGAGGGTTCAAGGGAAGGTAGCTTGTTTAGGCAGGAAAGGAAACACCAGTAGGGAACTGGGGAGGTGAGATGAAGCAGGGAAGGCAACTGAAGGGAGGGGCTGTGAAGTCAGATATGACTATGGGTAACAGGCTTAATCTCACCAGGGAAGTTCTGGGAGTCTGAATAGAACATACACCTCAGAGTGATCTCAGCTGAGGAGTGAGGGAGCTGCGGTATTTGTGTACCAACTCCCATCCTTCTTTTATTGAGGACTACCTGTTACACAGGGCAGGCAAAGTGTGTTTTGTCGGACACGGGAAGCCCTTAACAAAGGAATGCAGTGGTTGGCAGTTTGGAAGCTGGGCTGTGTGCACTGAAACATAGTAGCCAGGAGGACATGGGTGAAGTACAGGGCCCATTACAGCTTCTATGTATAAATGGCAAAATAAAATACTTATTGTAGCAGATCACAGAACACATTTTCTACTGAAGATGTCACTGGCTAAGCATACCTCATTATTTTAATTCAGGAAGTGAATCAACATGAATTATTCCTGGTATTTTCCCACTAAAAATCGGTGAGGGGTCCAATAACCACTGGATAGGGAAGTGGCATACTTGTTTTTGCCTACCAGGGCTCCCATTTTGGAAGCAGTATTGATGATGAAAATAATTTAAAACATAGAAATTCTAAAGAACAACCTCTGTCATATAATTCCACAAATATCTCTCCCCTCCTGCACATTTTCCAGACTACATTTTCATTATAATGATGCAGAGATAAAGTCAGGGAGGCATATATTTATCTATCCATGTATCTATATTCATCTAATCTAATATCTCTCTGCATAACAACATTACATGGTTGTTTTAGTAGCTATTTCATATACTATTAACATATAAGATTACTGTTATTACAAAGGCTTGTTTTTATTTTAAAAAATAGATGTGTCCCTAAGAAAACAGTTGATCAGACCCAAATGTCTCTTTGTAAAAGCGGCATGTTTTAATCTATTAGGATTTTTTGAAGGCTTCAATAAAATATCCTCATGGTTAAATCCCACGGTTCAAAAGCACACCAGACTTTCCCTCACTCTTATTTGTGTAAGTCATTACAAAACTATACACGACTTGGGACTTAAGTATTAGTTCAATAAGAAAGCATCCTTGAATAAATTGATAAAAAGAGCAAAAGAGAAAGAGGACTTGAACAGAACATGTAATCAATATCAACGATTTGGTCGCCTGCTAGGCTCTGCAGTGATAAGGGCAAATGAGGTAATGGCATCAAGAGAGAATTAGGAAATGAAACTATCAGCATAGGAAATGTGGTTGAATAGATTGTCATATGATGTCCTGGGAAGCCCTGGGCTTGAAGGGGAGCGAGCAAGTCTTTTCAGTTGATCAGCTTCCATACCATGGTGGTTTGGGGGTGATGGGGACATAGAAAAAGTAGAAGGCAGTTTCACCACAGTAAAATGTAAAAATATCTTAAAAGTGGCAGAAAGATCTAGGCGTCTCACAGTATGCATTCTTCCCTTCTTCCTCAATAATAAATCCCTGAATTTTAACTGACCTCTTACCAAAAGGAGCAACTCAACAGAAAGCCAATTCTCACGCTCTACTCCCACCTCTAGAATCAGATCAGCATGTTCTGGGGGCCAATCACCAAGTCTCCACAGAAGAAGAAGGCTTACATGCCAAAATAATTGCATGTTGGTGATTTATAATCTATAAAAATCTGGGAAATATATGTGGAAGTGGATTCTGAGGTGCTAGACCAAAAATAGAAAAAACTCTATATTGGGCTGAATTAATCAATATGGGTCGACTTACCAGATATTCTTGATCCAGTAGGCTAACTTGAGGCTGAAAGTAGTTCTAATAGTTTACTTGGTTGGTTGGCTAAAACCTGGACTCAGTTGTGGCTTATTATAAATAAAGTTGAGATGCAAGAAATTCATTTGCAGTAACTCTAAAGACTTATGAACATAGTAACGTTTGAGTTGATTCATTTCCACATTTACACTGATGATGTTACTTGAGAACCCCCAAAAGACAATTCCTTTCCTCATGGCCTTGAGAAATAAATTGGTGAGGGGAGTGCCTCTCCTCTGTCAACCAGAATTACTGCCAGGAGATAATATGTAGAAACAGGCTTCATGATGTCAATGTGTTATGAGTATCTTGACATGACAGAGACGAGGAGGCAGTACTTAATTCCAGAAGCAAGATGATCATGGTTCCTAGACTGAAAATTAGAAGAGTCGAAGCCACAGGGATCTGTGGCAGTAATGGACTGATCATGGGATCCCCAGGTGTGAGGATCCTAGATAGTCTATTAAGCCCCTAATCTGGATTCTATAACACCACCACTACCATTCCATATCTGGTGAACAGAGGTTAGACATATGCCAAAAAATAAAAATACCAAGTTGGGACCTCTCGCCTACTTCTAAAACCTGGTCCCCTAACTTTCAGACCAGGGCTCCTTGAGTGAAAGGGAGGCTGTGTGCTCCAAGAAATAACACTGCAAAGACTTCCTCAATTCTTTCTGGATCTCCCTTCCAGCCCTCATCAGTGAGACTCCACTGCGAGACTCATTTTACCTTAGTAAATGTGCACTGGGAAAGGGAAAAATGTACATCTTTGGGGGATTATTGGACACTGACTCTGAGATCACACTAATTCCTGAGGACCAAGAAAGTTACTGTGACCCATTAATCAGATGGACAGAAGATAAATGGAGTTTGGACAGGAGTCCACCTAACGGTAGGGCCTGTGGGACACTGAACCCATCCCAAGGTTGTTTCCTCAGTTTCTAAATATTACTGAAACATTCTCAGAAACTGTTTATGGCAGATTGTAGTTTCCAAAGATGGTGGCAATGATATCTACCATCTTGATGGTGTTCTGAATGTGACTTTGAGACTCCCTCAGAGACTCCCTCCCTCAGTGGAGTCTATTTCTCCACCCTCTTGAATCTGAGAAGGCCCTATGATTGCTTTGATCAATAGAGTAGGATAGAAATGACATGGTGTCAGTTCCAGGTGTAACCCTTAACTGGCCAGGCAGTTTATGTTTCCTGACTCTTGGAAAACCACCACCCTATAAGAAGAGAAACTGCTCTGAGACCACCATGCTGTAAGAAGCCCAAGTCTCAAGGAGAGGCTCTAGAATATAAGATGTCACATGACAGAGAGGCAACTCTTATTTGACTAATTGGTTTGACAATGAGGATGGGCTTTTTTAGATTGCAGTATATGGCAGGCATCTTGAATGAGCTAAAGCTGCACTTCCAAGCTTTTAATGAAAATAGAATTAAAGCATGTGTTGAAATGAAAGTACTTTAGAAATAATAATGTAGTGACAAATACTTAATGAAAAAAACTTGTGCTAACTTCTCTAAGTACATCAGGCTAAACAACATGCCTGTTGAGAGACCAGGTATGGTGGCTCATGCTTATAATCCCAGCAGTTTGGGACGTTGAGGCAGGAGGATTGCTTGAGGCCAGAAGTTCAAGATCCACCTGGTCAACATAGTAAGACCCTGTCTCTACCAAAAAAAAAAAAAAAAAAAAAAAAGAAAAAAAAAAAGAAAAAAAATGGTGCCTGTTGGAGAAAGAAGAACAAGCAAAATTAATAGTTGTATGGTTAGTAATGTCTTTTTGGTGTGCTTCATAAATGGAGAAACTAAATGATGCAAAGAATATCTCAAGTCATATAATTCTAAGTCTTTGTTTTCAACAAAATTGAAAAACCTTTGAGCTGGGAGCTGATACATCATTAAAAATAATTTTTGGTTGATAGATTATGTAACATTTAGCATATACTCAGCAAGAGTTCAAGAAATTGAGTGATATTTGCATAGCAAAACTCCTCCCTTCCTGTATACATACTTGCAAAAGCAAGGTTTCTCGGTGCTTATGTCTATAATAATGTGCCAGTAATATCAAAATAGGGCAATATCAAAGCCATATCAAAATAAAATATAAAAATAAGGCACCTGCCTTCCAAGAGTCTAGAAGCAGGAACTGCCTAGCCATTTAAGGGCTATTCCTGGAACTGGCACGATAAAAATAGGAATAAATTGCTGAATTGTTGCTGAACCCTGCCTCATTCCAGCAATAAGTCCTATTCATCTATGAATACATGAGCTAATTTTTAAAAGTCAGCCCATCCATATTACTAAGAAATGTAATTTCAATTTGCTTTTTATATTTAATGATTATTTATCAACATTTATACTTGCACAGTTTTTGACAATTGTGTGCAAATAATAACTGTAGTGATAACTCAATTCAGAAGAATATTTTTAACACTTAGAGATGAAATTTTAAATTCCAGTTAATATGATGGTAATTATGTCAGATGACAGATATGTTAATTAGCTTGATTGTGATGACCATTTCACACTGTTTATCAAAACATGTACACCATATATATACCATTCTTATTTGTCAGCCATACCTCAATAAAGCTAGAAACAAAAAAGAAAAAAATTCCAGTTGATACTTATATATAAACACACACACTGAGAAGTATGATAGAGTACGAATAAAACTATAAAAATTATATACTTATTAGCATAAAATTCTATGGAAATTCAAGTCCAACAAGAAAAAGGTGTAAAGCTTTAATACAAAAAGCTTGCTTTAGGCTGAGCACGGTGGCTCAGGCCTGTAATCCCAGCACTTTGGAAGGCTGAGGCAGGTGGATCACCTGAGGTCAGGAGTTCGAGGCCAGCCTGGCCAACCATGGCCAACATGGTGAAACCCCGCCTCTACTAAAAATACAAAAATTAGCCAGGCGTGGTGGCGGGTGCCTATAATCCCAGCTACTCAGGAGGCTGAGGCAGTAGAATCACTTGAGCCTGGGAGGTGGACGTTGTTGCAGTGAGCCGAGATCCTGCCACTGCACTCCAGCCTGGGTGACAGAGTGAGACTCTGTCTCCAAAAAACAAAAAAAGCTAGTTTTGGTATTTTTAAAATTAATTAAATCATGATATGTTTTGTTGATTGTCTAAAGGAAATAATGGAGAAAATGTTAATAATGCAGGTTAAACTTAAAACCACGTTCTATCTGTAGCCATTAAATTGTGGACAGCACAAAAATTTGAGGAAATATTCTTTCAATATTTGAAAACTCATCTGATTCTGTAAAGCAGTAACTCATATCATTGATGAACAAAAGAAGTTCGGTCATATATCTTCATTTCTTTAGTTTCATCTTACTTGTTAATGCAAACAAAATTATCAACCAATATCCTTGTCATGACTATACTCATTAGTTAACAATATGAGTAATTTTTTGGCCAAATTGGGTAGTAGGCAAGCCTTTATTTGCAGTCTGGTTTTGTCAGATCATTGTTGAATTGCAACCATGGGTTGGAGAAAAAAAATTAACAAAAGTGATCTTTGACAGTCACCTGGCTCTATGGAATTTATAATATTTATAATAAAGAACATTATAAATGTTTTTTATGATGTAAATTTTGCACTAAATATCCTTTACATTAATAAAATTTATAATTAATATAATCTTTTTTTTTCTAGAGATCTGATTGTTAAACATTTACCAGCATATCACCACAGCCAGCCAAGATGGGACTGAAGGTAATTGCAATGAACTGGGTGAAAAGAAACTAAGTCAGAATGAACTCATTATCAGGAGCAGAAACTAGGACTACAGGCTCTACTCAGATTTTCTTCCTTGCTGTGCCATGTACATATTCTCACATTTTGAGTGATTTCTGTTTCTTTCATCTTCCTTTACACCACTATTGTATATAAGTGAGCTGGTGGTTGAGAAGGGATCGTGACAGAAATAGTATCCTTCAGACATCTTGGATGAGGAGCTACAAAAAGTAACTGATGAAATATTGGATTATTTTATTTGGGAATAGGGTAGTTTGCATTATTTGAAGTGGGAACATTGCATATATGAGAAGATGAATCTTCAGGGGTGTTGACCAGCCAAAGGGGTAGAGAGTTCAATAAACGTTGCACCTTTTTCTATGTCTGGGAATGATCCACAGTGTAAGTTTTGGAGGTGAGAAGAGTCCTGACGCCTACTAGAGAAACTAAAATATGTGATTTTCCCACCCTTTCGGGCCTAGATTTTTTTTTTTTGCATATTATATAAGCTGAGAAAAATTGCATCCTTTCACTCAGGATTTCAGATCTGGAGAAAGAAATAGGGAACAGTTTAGAATTCTTAGCAGCTTTATCCACAGTAGCTGGCATCCAAAGGTGACAGAGCCAGGGGTAGCATCCATGGCTCAGAGGCAGCTTCTTTAATAGACTCTTTCTATGATGTAATTTTGGCAGTGGATACAACTGCCTGGCTTCCTTTGTTTCCTGCCCATTTTCACAGCTGATTCTCTAACCTTCCTGTTAATTCTGTGAGCTATTCGATACATTGCCATAAATTCATTTTCTCTCTAAGGTAAGTAGAGTTGGTTTCTGTTGTTGGAGCTAATAAAATATGCCCAGAAGGAAGTCTTTGAAAGCATCATGTTGTGATTTCAGAATGCAGGCATTTCCTAACAGGACCACTGGCTAGCAGCTAGAAATCTGATGCTGAGAAATTGAGAAGACCATAAAGACTGGGGATGTGTCCAGCTGCTTAGCACAACATCCACGAGCAAGGAACAAGATAAATTGCCCCAAAGTTCCTACTGTTCTTGTAGGTTTATTATAGGATAAAATTATCTTGATGATGGTAAAATCTCTTTTCTAAATTCATGCATTTCCTTTCAACCTTTTTTTTTTTTTGCAATACTCATAGCTTTGTCATATTTTTAAAACATGGCTAGCCAGACACAATAATTTCTGAAATCCATCAACATTTTCCTTTATAGTGTTTCAGGACCTTTTAGAAAACAACATTATCCAAGTCAGGGTAAATGTTCCAGGAGCAAATTGACCACCAAAACTCGCCAGGTCACTCATCTCTCAGCTTATGGTTTGTGTTTAACAATCGAAGTCAATGTCACTAAAATTGTTTATCAGTGGGGTAATAGCTCAAAATTGCCTTGGCAGTTATATTCGTTTTCTACTGCTACCTTAAAAATCACCACAAATTTGGGCAGTTTAAAACAAGACAAGTTTATCATCTCATAGTTCTGTGGGTGAGAAGTCCAGGTGGGCGTCACTGTTCTAGGCCTTATGAGGCTGAAATCCAGGTGGCAGCTGACTTGAGCTCTTTTTTGGAGGCTCTGGGGAAAAAATCCACTTCCGAGATCACTCAGGTTATTGGTAGAACTCAGTTTTTTGCTGTTGTAGAGGTGTTTGGTTTTTTTTTTTTCTTCCCCCCGGGCTGCAATCTAACCTTTCTCATCTCCTTGAGGCTGTTCCTCATCATGTTGCCTCCTTCATCTTCGTTCTGGTGATGGTGCATAGAGCCGTTTTCATGCTTCAAGTCTCTGACTTCCGTTTTTGTCACATCACATCTCTTCTGCCCCCAGCCAGAGAAGTTTCTCTGGTTTTAAGGGCTCATGTGATTAGATTGCCACCCCATCCCGACCCCAGATAATCTAGGCTAATCTCTCTATTTTAAGGCTCACAGCCTCAAACACATCTGAAAAGCCCCTTTTGCCATGTAATATAATGTATTCACAGGTTCTAGGGATTAGGGCATGGACATTTTTGGGGAGACATTCTCCTTATCATAGCAATCCCCTGCAATTTTTAGCCAAAGACTCCAGAGATAAGGTTTCCTACCACTTCTAATAATTTCAATTCAGATTCTCAGGACATTGTAGGGTGCCATGGACTGAATGTGCCCTTCCTCCAAATCCACGTATTGAAACCCTAACCTCCAGTGTGACAGTATTAGTACCTTTGGGAGGTAATTAGGTTTAGATGAGGTCATGAGGGTGGGGCCCCCATGATGGGATTAGGACCCTTACAAGAAGAAGAGTCTCCAGAGTTTCCTCTCTCTGTCATGTGAGGATACAGCAAGAAGATAGCCATCTGCAAGCCAGGAAGTGGGCTCTCACCAGGAACTGAGTCACTGGCACCTTGATCTCAGACTCCCAGCCTCCAGCACTTTGAAAAATAAATGTCTGTTGTTTAAGCCACTTAGTCTATGGTATTTTGTTATAGCAGCCTGAGCTGACTAAGACATATGGGTAGCGTTTAATCTGCTGCATTGTGAAAGTAGAATCAATAAATTTTTCTTTCTCGGCTATAAAATTGGACATCTTTAATAAAGCTTATGAAAGAAAGAATGAAGTGTCTGCCTTCTAAACTTTGGCACCTTCCTATCTCCCAGATGACCTGCAGCACAGTATCACCAGTGAGGGCAGCAGCAGCTGAGACCTCCATCCCTAGTTGGAGATATTTGTCTCTGGATGGCTCTTCCCACATTCTCTATGGAAGTGCTTTGTACTTTGGAGCCTCTGCCCACTAGCTCTGAAGGGTTAGGTCTTCTATAGACATAAAAGCTGACTCCCTTGGCCCTCAGCTGACCAAATGAGTGGAAGGGAAAGTCCTTAAGGCAGTACCTCAACAACACTGTGCTCTGGAATCACCTGGGCATGTTAAAAAAAGTACCCATGCACATAGGATCTGGTTCAATTGGTGTAGAGTAGGGCCTGAGTATAGGTATTTTTAAAAAATACTTTCCATCACTTCCCTTTACTCCATAGCCACAGTAACTAGATTGAGCCAGGCTACTCTGAGGTATCCATTACAACTTTGATTGGGAGAAGCAATGCCAAAATGTTAAGGTTATTTCCAGAAGGTAGAAATGTGGGTGGTGGTTATTTTCTTCTTGGTACTTGTTTGTATTTTGAACATTTCCGTAGAAAACTCAAGACGAAATGTTTCGTAAATAAACAGAGACAAAATGTTGCCTTCTCAGAGGGGGTCCCCTCTCATTCCCCATTCCTACGTTATTGTCTCTAACAGCATCTTCTTATTTTCCTTTCTCAGTCTGTATCATATTTTGTACCAATACACATTTCATTCATTTGCCTGTTTATTGTCTCTCTCTCACTAGCTATAAGGTCATGAAGGCAGCTTCATATTTATTGTGTTGATCACTATATGCCCAGGTACCCAGGCCTATGACAGTAAAGTTTTTATTTATCCAGGTATCCTTCATTATTTGAATTCTCACTCCCTAACTGCTCACTATAACAACTTGCAATTATTTTTATTCCAGATTTAATATTTGAAATAAAAATCTGCTATTGCAAATCAGCAAGTGAATGCCAGAAAATCTGTTTAAGTTGCAAGCGAACCCAGGTAAGAGGATGCAGATTGTGTTGCAGGCCCATCTCAGGTACTGCATGATAGGGATACATGTTGTCTAGATGTACATCATCAACATCCAGATCAGCATTCCCAATTGTTAAGTGAAAATGTCTTCTCACAAAGTAGAACTCAACCAAGCGCAGTGGCTCATGCCTGTAATCCCAGCACTTTGGGAGACCAAGGTAGATGGATCACTTGAGGCCAGGAGTTCAAGACCAGCCTGGGCAACATGGTGAAACCCCATCTCTACAAAAAATAGAAAAAATTATCCGGGTGTGGTGGCACATGCCTGTAGTCCCAGTTTCTTGAGAGGCTGAGGTGGGAGGATCACCTGAGCCTGGGAGGTCGAGGCTACAGTGAGACGAGATTGCTCCATTGAATTCCAGCCTGGGCCACAGAGCAAGACCCTGTCTCGAAAAAAAATTAAATAAAAAAAGAAAGCAGAATTCATTCAGAAAGTAGAACTCAGTTCATCATCACTTGGGGAAAGGGAAGAAGAGAAGCTGTGAATACTCAATGCAGAATTTTCAGAAGAAATTCTAGATCATACCCACAAAACCATTGCTATAGCAAGTGAGTATGATCATGACATCAAAGGAAAAACCACATTCCAGAAATGCAATGACAAGCTGTGTCTTATGCTATCAGCGGTGTATAATATTAAGCAAAGAGAACACAAACAGATGTCCGTTTTGAGAGCTTTTGTGCTCCTCACACTGTTTCATCTATAACTTCAGATGATGGTTCAGGGTCACACCACTTCCAGAGTCTTGCATGCCAATAAAGCTCCCTTTCAGTTCTCTGCATTTGGACTTGGAGGATGTGAGGCATCTGCTGTTCCACTCATTCTTTTACTTACCCTCAAACCCCAACTGCGACTGAAGCTTCCAGTGGTCACCGAACTCTGCTGGGGCAATTCTCCCATTAATCAATAACCATTATTTGAAAATTGCCATATTATTTCATTTCATTCTTCTGAGTATAATCTGCATTCATCCTTTGTAGTATCTTGAACATATTACTTCCACTACGGTTATTTATGTTTTGTAATACTCGCTGAATGTAGAAGAAAGATGAAATTCATACACTCTACAGCAGTCCATCTCTCAGTGTCCTGAACTAGCAGGATCAGCATCAGCAGGAATGTGTTAGAGATGCTAACTCTTGGTCCCTACTCCAGACCTCCTTTCTCTGAAACTCTGGGTCCCAGGATCTGCTCTTTAACAAACTCCTCAATTGATTCTGATGCATGCCAAAAATGGAAAATCCTTGTTCCACCATATAATGGCCAGTACTGCACACAAATAATTAGGTAGAGCAGTAGGTGTTTTAAGTGTTTTCCATTATGTTTAAATCCTTGATGGATGGTTACATGTGGGTTTAAGAATATTTTAGTAATATTTGAGAAAATTGGTTGTGGCTTTTGGATGAGCTGAGAATACATTATTTTTGCCATTTAAAATACTAGAATGTAAACTTCCTCTATATGAATATTTGCTATCCAAAGTGTTTTCAGGAATGGATTTGATTCAGATAGCATGAATGTTGACAGATTACAAGGCAACAGTCAAGAATTCCTTCACAGCATGAAGAGCCTGCCTGGTTGAAAAGCTGCCCCATTGGCCAGGCGTGGTGGCTCACGCCTGTAATCCCAGCACTTCGGGAGGCCAAAGCGGGTGGATCACCTGAGGTCAGGAGTTCGAGACCAGCCTGACCAACATGGAGAAACCCTATCTCTACTAAAAAAATACAAAATTAGCTGGGCGTGGTGGCACATGCCTGTAATCCCAGCTACTCAGGAGGCTGAGGCAGGAGAATTGCTTGAATCCAGGAGGTGGAGGTTGTGGTGAGCCAAGATCACGCCACTGCACTCCAGCCTGGAAAACAAGAGCAAAACTCTGTCGAAAAAAAAAAAAAAAAAAAGCTGCCCCATCTTTGACTCATTTGTAACTGCCTCATGACAGAATGTGTACATAGGCCAGATGGGAAAAACTATGCAGTGGTGATATGAAATACTTAGGAAAATTATGTAAAAGTTTTTTTAGGATTTTTAAGAAAAAAGGATTGAAGGAAACACCAAGGGAAAACTCAAGGCTGTATGGAATGTTAGCTCAAATTCTCACTCCAAAAGTGTTATAGAGAGAACGGCAGTTAGAAAACAGAAATGATGTGAACCAGATTCTTCAATTAACCCAATTTCTTCAGGTCACCATCAACCACAACCAGTCAAGGACAGGTCTAACAGAAAACTCTGTTTCTAGTGGAACACCACTTGGCAACCTTCCGAGAGCAGACACCATTAATCCAACAAGTCTACACTCAAGCCTTGCCATTTCTCAGAACAGTCATGAAACAGTCCACTGATTACATAAAGTTCAAAAAGACTCAAACTGCATGGTGATCCAAGAAGAGAATTTCTTGTGGTGACAGGTGATCCAGAAAATCAGCTTTACCCTTCGGTTTCAATTATATGTAGTTCAAAACATACACGTTTTCCTTAACTCTGGGAAAATATCTGCAAGAGTAACTTACAAATGCTTATCCACTATAGGTAAGTTACATTTGGTCTGGAGCACTTACAAAAGGACCCTAGACATGTAACACTGAACAGGGCAACAACAGTATTGCTTTTAATCAGGCATTTATAAACTACGGTCAGGGCATTCAAACTTTGTTTATTCCATGATTATCTTTATAGCCCTAAATGATTTCAGAATTTGCTGAGCACATATTGAGTTACTGGAAGGGATCAATAGTAACTTTAAAGAGGAGATTGTATTGTTCAGCAAACCTTGACTGCATCAATAGCTGCAAGGAATAAGATGACATGATGCAATACTCTTTGTCTATCTCTGCCTGCAGACTCTGTTCTAAAAACTCTGGAGGTGAGCTGAAATTAGTCCCACTGTAACAATTGAGGCCATATGTCTTGATATTGACAGCTTACTCAATGTTCACTGGAAATGTACAATAAAGGCAGATAATTCTACAAAATCACAAGTTAATATATTAAACTATATTGTCTATAAAGCAACTTTTCATTTATTGGTACAGTGCTTGATCACGATTTCGTTCCATTTAAATCAATCTAACTCTATTCATAGGCACAGAATTTTCCTACGTGTACACCTACCTCTCAAGTGTAGAGTCCAGCCCTACGGGGCTTAGCGGGTGTTCTCCCCGTGCGCGGAGACAAGAGATCCTAAGAAATAAAGACGCAAGACAAAGAGATAAAGGAAAAACAGCTGGGCCCAGGGGACCACCACCACCAAGACGCGGAGACCGGTAGTGGCCCCTAATAGCTGGGTGCGCTGATATTTATTGCATACAAGACAACGAGGCAAGGTAAGGGGGGTGAGTCATCCAAGTGATTGATAAGGTCAAGCAACTCACGTGATCATGGGACAGGGGGCCCTTCCCTTTCAGGTAGCCGAAGCAGAGAGGGAAGGCAGCATACGTCAGCGTTTTCTTCTATGTACTTATCAGAAAGATCAAAGACTTTAAGACTTTCACTATTTCTTCTACCGTTATCTTCTAAGAACTTCAAAGAGGAACCAGGAGTACGGGAGGAACATGAAAGTGGACAAGGAGCGTGACCATTGAAGCACGGCACCACAGAGAGGGGTTTAGGCCTCCGGATGACTGCGGGCAGGCCTGGATAATATCGAGCCTTCCACAAGAAGCTGGTGGAGCAGAGTGTTCCCTGACTCCTCCAAGGAAAGGGAGACTCCTTTTTGCGGTCTGCTAAGTAACAGGTGCCTTCCCAGGCACTGACGTTACCACTTGACCAAGGAGCCCTCAAGCGGCCCTTATGTGGTCGTGACAGAGGGCTCACCTCTTGCCTTCTAGGTCAATTCTCACAATGTCCCTTCAGCATCTGACCCTATACCCGCCAGTTATTCTTTGGTTATATTAGTAATACAACAAAGAGTACTATTAAAAGCGAATGATTTATAATGTTTATACATATTAAAAGCGAATGATTTATAATGTTTATACTAACTATTGATAATGGCCATGATCATCTCTATATCTAATTTGTATTATAACTATTCTTATTCTAACTATTTTCTTTATTATACTGAAACAGTTTGTGCCTTCAGTCTCTTGCCTCGGCACCTGGGTAATCCTTCGCCCACATCAAGTTATTTCCCTTATTTGGAATATCGTCCATTCTTTTCAAGAAAACAGATAAATCTTCTCTTTCAAATCCTTTAAAACCATTTTCTTTTTCTTAAAACCTTCTCACACTAAACTTACCTGGCTGATCTTGTCAAAATATACTTCTTCAGCATTCACTATGTGGTGGGCACTGAGTTGGACTCCAGGATGGGCCAGAAAGCCCAAGGGTGGCTAATGCAGGGGGCAATGGATAATCCAGCAAGCAAGAGCCACACAATGTAATGGGGTTCAGATCTAAGCAGCACAGGGGCTCTGGAAGCACTTGTGAAGGGCACTTATCTTTATGAAGTCCAGGGAGATTTTTCCTGATAGCACAGATTCTTGCTAGTGTCCATTTTGAAGACAAGACACCAAGCACCCTACATTCTAAAGTCAAGGAGTTTTCATAGGTTAGGGACAGCCACCTCAGGGCTTGCTGAGGAGCTTCAGCTCACACCCACCCTGTCCCCCAAGTCTGCATAAGATGACCAAGAGTGGGAGATGTCAGAGGCCTTTTGGGTTAGTGCAGTGTTCAGAGGAGGGGCTAGTTTCTCTCCTCTTTGTGCATCGAAGCCAAGAGAATCACTTGTACACAAGTGTTGACAGTAAAGATGGACTTACCTTTCATCTTCTGGTTGGATTTTAGCTTAGTCATTGGACTTGTCAACTTGTCCCTGGCTTCCCTGAACAAGGACAATGAGAACAGGCAAAAGGTGACAGGGCTAAGCAAGGAGCTGGCAGCAGACCCAGCTGTCTACCCACCATTTGGAATAAGGAGGATCTGAGAGCTTCCTGAGGATGGAGTGGGCATCTGGGAAGGTAAGTGGGCTTGAGCCATGTTGCTAGTAACACATTTCCTTCCCAAAGGGATACCCTGAAGAAAGAAGCTAAGGGGTAGATTGTCTTTCTGGAGGTGATGGGTGGGAGTGAACATGGTCCAGGTGAAGACTAGTAGCCAAGGGTAGGAAAGAAACGCAGTGGGGAAGACCCAATCTGGTCCTCTGAAGGACTCATGTATGTGCTCCATGAGACTCAGGTATTGGAAGCCTCATGAAATTGGGCATCTGTGTTGGTCTGCCAGTGTTAGCAAGAGAAGCAGGGGAAATCTAATAAGAGGAATGCCAACTTCTTCAGTAAAGAAAAGGGACATTTGCTGTTTTCCTTCACTCTTCATCTGCCCTAACACATGGAGAAGTTAATCCCTTCAACAGAGAGAAAGAGAATGTGTATAAAAAGCAGACCACGTGCCATCCTCCATTCCAAGTCTGCACTGGAATAGAGGAATGAGTTTTAAATTGACCTTGAGATTGAAATTCTAGAACAAAGAGGATTGAATATTTAAGCTGAGTGGAAATTATTCTGATAATCAAAAGTGACGGGTCAAGATGTTTTTAAGGATCTGCTACCCAGATGAAGGATGAAGAGGGGAAGATGAGAAGAAGAAAGTGGGAAAAGTATTGCAAGCAGTATGTGTGAAGTCTAGGGGTTGAGGAAGAGAATAATACATTCTGTGATCCAAGTGAAGTATAGAAAGCTACGGATGGTGGGGGTGGGTAGTTTGGAGAGATGATACACCAGAAACGCATCCTGATGGGACTTGTTAGCCATATTTCAGAGTTTGTGGAACTTTTAGGTCGTGATTTCTGTAACGGCAGCCTACAATATATCCTTCCCAGTGAACCTACTGTGGAGTTCAATTGGGACAGCAGGCAGCAAATGTAGTAGATTGCTTCACTTCTAAGTTGAATCTTAACATTGTTTTTTTTATGGGTGAAATTTTACTCCCCTTACTAATATTTTTAGGGTCCAAGGAAGGGTATCAGAGACATTTGCAAATTGGACATTAATTTGAAAAATACAGCGGCTGGCCCACTAATGGAGACTTCATGAACATTTATCAAATGGATGAGGGCATGAATAAATAGAAGACTGTTTTAATACAGCCACTAAGCTTAATGCATCTCTTGGTTTCACAAATACAAGTGGGGAAATCTCCATTATTTTGCTTTTGGCTAATGCCTCCAACATTGTGCTTATTAAGGCATGGTCCATATGTTATATACATGCTCCAATAGTTCATGCAGTTCATAAGAGGTTAATAAAATATATCATATCAATGTCACCACAATTGTGTATAATTCTGTTGAATTGCTCCCCCTTACTAGAGTTGATATTCAGTTTCATCAGATTCCATACTTCGCTGATCTTCATAGCCTGGTTTGTGAAATTACCTCATCCTCTAAAAAAATGTTAATGAGCAATCTTTATCCTTTGAACTTGGAAGTATTGCTCAAACCCACAAAAGCTAAAAATAGAAAATTGGCCTTTTAAGTACCATGAGCACCAGATGCAAGAAGAAAAAAAACATTAGGTTTATGGCTGAGAAATTTTATATACACTTAAAAATAAAAACTGGAAAGGAGAAAATGTCAAAAGAGTGATTATTACACAAAGCTTCACTATGCAAGTTATTTCTGGTGCATCCTCTAAAACCACTGACCCTGGAATCAATTTCTAAATCAATTAGAAACCAATCTCATCCACAGTGCAACCCATACATTCTCATCTAGAACCAGCGGATATCTTTCCATTGCTCTCCAATCATCCTCCTGTGGGTTATGTTTCTGCACGTGGAAAAGGGAAGAAGGGAACTGTCCCTTCTCATTTGCCTTCTTCCCAGGTCAGTGTTTAAAAGATACATATCATCCCCATGGTTGAAAACAGGTAGCCATATCAATTCTTTGCTTTTTCCCATTCTTTAAAACATATTTTTATTATGGAAAAATGTAAAACATGTACCAAATAGAAGAGTGTAATGATTCCCTGCACACCCAACACTCTGCTTCATCATTACCAATTCATGGCCTATCTTGTTTCATCTATGTCCCCATTTAGACCTCCCTCCCATTAAGTTTTGAAGTAAACCTCACTTCATTTGTAAATATTTCAGAATGTAGAGGGCTCTTCTATATGGGTAAGACATTCATCACTTTCCTCCCAATTCTTTCCAGATAGTAACAACAGAAAGCTACCTAATGGTGCCAGGTAGGGAGTCTGCTCTTTGCAGGCGGCTCTGGGAGCACATATCTCATCATGCTACCCACGAGTCTCGTCTCAGGAACTCTACTTTTATTTTTCAGGCAAGAAGAATGATGACCCACATGTATCACTCAGCCAGCTTCAGCCTTATTCTGGCCCATGGCAGAATCATCAGGGATCCAAATGCTTTTTGTCAACTGTAAGTTTTTGCTTATTTTTCCTGGTTATATTTCTGTTACCAATTTCTCGCTTAATCCATTGTAGTCAGAGAATTTACAATGTATGATTTCTGCCCTTCATTTATTGAGATTGGTTTATGTCCCAGCATATTGTTCTATTTTGGTTAATGTTTCACGTGATTTCTGTAAATGTTCGAGGCAGGTGGATCACGAGGTCAGGAGTTCAAGACCAGTCTGGCCAACATAGTGAAACCCCGTCTCTACTAAAAATACAAAAAATTAGCCGGGTGTGGTTGTGTGCACCTGTAATCCCAGCTACTCGGGAGGCTGAGGCAGGAGAATCGCGAGAACCTGGGAGGCCGAGGTTGCAGTCAGCTGAGATCATGCCATTGCACTTCAGCCCGGGGGGCCATGCGAGACTCTGCCATAAAAATAAAATAAAATAAAATAAAATAAAATAATATAAAATAAAATAAAATAAAAAATACATAAAATAAAATAAAAAATCTCTACTGACTTTTTGTACTTGTTCTGCCAATTAATGAGACAAGTTTAAATTTGGCCAACTAAGATTGTGAATATAACTCTACTTTTAGTGCCGTCAAGTTTTCCTTTATACACCTTGAAGCTATGTTATTAGAGGCACATTCACATTTAGGATCCTTAGGCCTTCTTGTTGAGTTGATCCTTTTATCATTATGGATTGTCCTCTTTATTTCTTATAATACTTCTTCCTTTAAAGTCTACTGTGTTTGGCATTGATATAGCCAGGGAATTTATCTTTCAGTATATCTTTTCCATCCTTTCATTTTTAACTTTTCTGTGCCTTTCTATTTAAAGTTTGTCCTTCATAAACAGTACATAATTAGGTGTTGTTTTTTTCATCCAGTCTGTCTTTTGACTTTTCATTGGAATGTCTAGTTTATTAAAATTTAATGTAACTATTATATAATTGGGTTTAAATCTACCAAGTTTTCTCTATCCCCAGCCTCCCTCATTACCCTGGAACTCACCAAAAGGCCCCTTGGAGAAAACTGGTAGGGAAAACTGGCTATATTTTGGGGGCCCATCTTGATACCAGTCAGTCATGCCAGCCCACACAGACCACACAGCTATTAGAAGCTTCTCTGACTTCTTTTTATCCCCACAATGTCTCTCTGCATACCGCAAGCGTAATATTCAGTCCTTGCCGACACTTGTCAAATACTTCCTGAGAGGAAGGAGGAAAACAGTTACTGATTTCTGCTCACCTAGGAATAATTCTTTCCTCTCTGCAATTTTATTTAATAAAAATAAAAATAACACAGAATATGTGAGGCACTGTTAAATTGCCATATATATTATAACTATATTCACAAATTGTTTAACATCTTGCTACATTTGCTTAATGTTTGCCCCTCTCCTCCCCAAACCACCTCTCTCTCTCTCTCTCTCTCTCTCTCACACACACACACACACACACACACAGACACACACACACACACACACACACGTTTTGTTTTGTTTCTGCAGAAAACATCATGGCATATTATAGCTAAATGCCTCAGCATGCATCTGTTAAAAACACACATTCTCCTACATATGCATAAGACCATTGCCAAATCCAATAAATTTAATGTTGCTACAATATTATCAAACATACATTTCCTATTCAAATTTCCCCAATTTTCAGCAAAACATCATTTAATTCTTTTTTAAATTTTAGGATGAAACCTAGGATCACAAATTGCATGTGATTGTCATGGGTTTTTGGGGCTCTTTTAATCTAGAACAGTCTCTCTGGCTTTATTTGTTTTTCATGATCACTGACATTTCAGATTTGTCTAATTATTCTTTCACTATTACATTTAGGTTAAATAGTTTTGGTGCATGCATACTACCTAAGTGATGCTGTGTTCTTTCCATTGCATAATATCAGGAGGCACATGCTATCAGTTTGTCCCATTACTGGAGGTGCTAAGTTTGATCACTTGCTGAAGGTGAGGTCCACCAGATCCCTCCAGTGTAAGGATATCTTTTCTCCTTTGTAATTAATAAGTAATCTGTGGAGGTGATACTTTGAGATTGTGTGAATGCCTTGTTCCCCAACAACCTCTTACTCATTGGTGTAATCATTGAGGATTTTTACCTGAATCAATGATTGTATTGTTAGATGTGAAAAAGAGGATTTTCAAATTCTGTCATTCGTTCTATATGTCTAAGTTGACATTCTCTTGTAAAGAAGGGCTTTCTCTCTTCCCATTTTTATATAGTATTACTGTGGACTTATTGATTTCCTTTTGCTATAATCTATTACTACCATTAGTCATTATGATCCAAAAATTGTCCTAAATTTGACCAGCAGGAAGCCCTTCCAGCAGACCCTGTGTCCTTTTGAGGTATCCCCATTGTTCTTTGAGCACTTCCTTGCTTTCTACATCACAGGATGCTCCAGGCCCACCTCGATCTTTCCTTGCTCCATCCCTAGAATGAGCCATTTCTTTTTAAGAAGTGTGGTGGTCTTCATGGTTGTGTCCAGCAGCTAGTGGTGCAGTGTGTTGATGCCCAGTGGCAGCACTAATGGAGGCTATGTGGTTCCAGTGCTGGGGTGTGATTTGGGGGCATTTTTTCTGGCTGCTTATCTTCCCTTGCCTCATTTTCTGGCTCTGCTGGGGATTTTATGAGCCACCTGATGCCATTTAATCATTCCTTGCACATTAGGTGAGCCAGAGTGTCTGTTGCTTGCAGCCAAAGACTCTGGTTGATAAGAGCACCAAATGATTCACAAATTCACAAAATAAGCCTGAACTTCCTGTTCTTTGGGTGGCAGCAGATAATCCAGAGCCTGTGTAAAAGTGTGATGTGATAATGGCTCACAAGAGCAAACTTGATAAAAATGAATTTAATAGCACTTTTCAGTTGCATGGTACCTTAAGCATCATCTTTAATACCCTTGACATGGTCAAGAGATGTATTATTTTCCTCATTTGAAAGATGGGAATTTGAAATAAATGTTATAAGAACACGTATTAGAACTGAATTGTTTGAAGACAAAAGGCGCACTGAAAACTTAAATCCAAAAAATAGAAAAATATACCAAAATATTTTTTTGGCAATCACTTCAAGAACTTAAAGCAACAAGAACATCCAAATGTTACTATCTAAAGCTAATTGCCCTTAAGTGGGCATTTATCTGCAGAGAATTTTACACTGAATTCAGGAAGATATGCCAGAAATAACCAAAAGGACTGTACTGAGAATATAGTAAGAAGAGTCTGGAGTAAAAAGAAACAGGATATAAATTACTGAGCTAGAGCCTTAATTTTAAATGGTGGTGGTTTGTCACAGTCGATTGAATTGAAAATCTGATCCACATTAACTTCACTTTCTTTTTGTAAACGCCTCATAACTACTCTTGACATTTTCATATGCTTTGTCTTGGCTCAGTGATTCTCCATGAAGGTGAACTGCCTAAAGGTGGCATGTATTAGTGCACACGAATCCAAGTATTAGCATTAGTTATTGCTCACTGCAAATAAATTACTCCACATCTTAGTGACTTAAAACAACACTAATTGATTATCTCACAGTTTCTGTGAGTTGGAAATCTTGGCCTGGCTTAACTGTCCTCTGCTTCATGGTCTCTCACGTTGTTGACAGAGGTAAGGATTCCTTGGTTTTGCCTTCTTTTATGAGACATTCTTACTTCCTTTGACAGGTTTAATTTTCCAAAGATGGCTTCACAATAACTTATATCCCACAGGCTTGTGACTCACTTATAAACAATTGAAAGCAGTGAAAGTGACACTGAGTGACTTCTGAGGCTAGGTCAGAAGCTGTGAAGCAGCTTCTGCCCTGCTGTTGAGACACTTGCTTTTGGAGCCGTGGGCTGACATTATAAAACGTATGGCTACCTTGAGATGGCCATGCTGTGAAGAGGCCCACCACATGGAGAGGCCACCTGAAGTACTCCACTTGGCAACTTCAACTAAGGTCCCAGCGGACAGGCAATAAACACTAAGCTCTGGACATGTCGGCAAGAAGCCTCCAGATGCCTCCAGTTTCCAGCCATCAAGTTACCACCAGCCACAGAGTTTTCTCACCTGAGGCCCCAGGCATTGTGTAACAGAGACAAGCAATTCCAGCTGTGTACTTCTAGCATGCCTGTTCCACAGAATCCACAATTAAGTGACTGTATTGAGATGTGAAGTTTTGAAATAATCTGTCACACAGCAATAGTAACTGGAAGACTTCCCTCAACTGGAAGACTTTCCCCATCTCCCAATCCAGGGAGCTTTGAGAAATAAGAAGGCTCTTGACCTCTTAGGTGGAGTCTATATAGCTTATGCAGCATTACCTCTAAAATCCCGACAGGTAGATGAAGTCATTGAACCTTGTTTGGTGAACTACTCGGCAATTCTCAAAATCAGTAAAGCCAGCACAGTGTATTAGTTATCTATTCAAGTTATTGCTTGCTGTGTAACAAATTACCCCACATCTTAGTGGCTCTAAACAACACACATTTATTATCTCACAGTTTCTATGGATCAGAAGTCTATACATGGCTTAAATGGGCTCTCTGCTTCGTGGTCTTTCATGAGGCTGCCCAGGATCTGCCATCTCATCTGAATGTTTGACAGGGGAAGAACACATCTAAAGCTCATTCTGTGGTTGTTGGCAGCATTTCATTCCCTGCTGGCTGTTGGCTGAGGCTGCTCTTAGTTCTGTGTCATGTGGACCTCTCCCACAAAGCTGCTTGCTTCATTAAAACATGCAAGCTGAGAAGTCAATAGATAGAGGCTGCTAGCAAGACACAAGTCACGATTATTTGCAAACTAATCATGACAGTGACATCCCTTCACCTTTGCCATATTTTATGGGTTAGAAGTAAATCACTAGGTCCACCCACACTTGAAGGGAGGGGATTGCCCAAGGGTGTGACTACCAGGAAGCAGGAATTATTGATGGCATCTTAGAAGGCAGCCAACTACACCAAGGACATTGTTCTGACGGAGTGTCAGGGGCAGTCCAAAAATGGGCTATTCTCAGTGAGATGGAAAACAAGTCTGGGCTTACTGTGATTCAAGGTATCTCTGGATCATTCTTCCTTGACCTAAAAAGTGAGTACCTTGAAGAAACGGTGATGGCCAAATATTTTTGAGGACAGATATTTCTTAAACATACATTTTAATAAGCCAATCATCACAAAAAAGACACTAGGTTAGGAGCTCAATTTTATTCAGCCCAGGATCATATGTGCAGGGAAGCATGGGGCAGGATAGAAGGATGTCTTGCTTTAGTTTTTGCTACATGTAAATATAAAATATGAAGTTTAAAAGTATTGTCACTGATCTTCCCACCATCTTTCCACTACCCTCTGCTGCATTAGAAATTTACATATTTTCCTGTTAACTAGCACTTACCTATAATTTCCCGATGAAGGGCTTTATACTTCATCAGGAATTTTCTTTATTAGGTGAACTGCTTACTTTTACCCTCTGAAATATTCCACATTCTTTTCCTAAGCCATGTTTCCTTCTCTTATGATCCTATTTTTATTTAAAGAGACAAACCCCACAGCTGTGAGTTATGAAAGATGACAGAAGAGAAAGAGGCTGTGGCTTGCCTAAAGGGTCTCCAGAAATCTAGAGGGATGCTTTACCTAGTTGGTTTAGAAACAAATGATACAGGGAGAAAATGTAAGGGAAATAAGTTCCTCTCATCTTAAGGAAACTGTCTCAGTCTACCACCAGCACATGAAGGGCTAGTAAAGTAATGCTGGGGTGACTGGTACTGGGGGCTGCAGTGACACACTGGAGAAAGTGGGAAGTGGAGGCCTGGGGGCAGGACCACCAAGAACATCAGGAAGGCCTTAGGAGGAGTTCAGGAAGGGTCATTTGCAAGACTTCTCACCTATCCAGTCACTACAGGTAAGAATGTGAAGGCCAACTAAATGGCCAATGTGAAGAGTAGAATACAACCATCAAACACTGGAAAAAGGAGGAAAGAGAGGTGTGAGGTAGTGTGAAAGTATTAACGTCCTCACTGCTCATAGCAGGGAGTCAGGACTGTCTAAAACTGGAACAGGCAGTTAAAGAATTCCAACTCCAACCACTTAATAATTTTTTAGAAGAATCTTTTAGAAAATAATACCTCGTGGTGAAGAAATATTGATTATGAATTCTTCTGTTTCACTTTAATTTCTTTTTTCTGTGATATTAAAGTACAATTAAAAGTAACATTTTAAATGAATAAGATTTAGCTATTTTATCCCCATTTTAATTAAGATATAGCATTTTCTTAAAAGTCTTCCTATCTGTATCTGTATGTTTATCTACTTATCTTGTTGCATAAGCCTACGCAATTGTCTTGATCTCTCTTAATGTCAGTGATAGTCGCTTCTGGATGGTATTTTGTGGGTGATTGTCAGCTTTCTTAAATTTGTACTTTTCTAAACTATTTGAATTCCTCACATAAGCATGCACTATGCTGATAAGACTAATTTTTCTGTAAAAAAAAAAAGAGAAGGAAAGATGAGAGAGGAAAGAAAGAAAGAAAAAGAAGAGAGAGAGACACAGAGAGAGAAGAAAATCCCGGAAGCAAATATGCCAAGATATTATCAGTGCTTTGTTCTGAATGTGTAAATGTGGGCAATTTTTATTTTATCCTTTACAGTTTCGTGTGTGTGTGTGTGTGTGTGTGTGTGTGTGTGTGTGTGTGTGTTTTAAATTTTCAAAACCAGTTATCTGTGTTACCGAGGACATAGGAGTTTTTGGTCTTTTGGAGCTTTTTCTCCTACAAGACAATTGTGAAGAGAAGAATCACTATTAAGGGAGAGGTTGTTCAATATTTTTACGTTGTAAAATGATCCTTAAAATGAAAAAGGTTGAGAATGAGTGTATGGCACAGCCTGTTTTAAACCACTCATGCAAAATTCCTGAGGGAGTCTATAGGTAAGTTTTATGGGACAAGGGTGTAAATAATTGATTGCTAACATGAGTCCCTTCTCATTGATGAATCGCATGCTTGCTGAATATGCTTCCCTTGAAAAGCAGGTGGCCACCTGGGGTGAGAGCCCTGTGAAGCTCCAAGGATGTGAGCATATTGACTTAGAACCAGTCATATGGACACGCTCCTATTTACATGTGAAAATGCAGTGGCTTTAAGTTTTGTTTTTAGAGTCACCCTTTGAGGTTTATACCTACAAAACTTGAAGATGTTCAGATGTAAGCCTTGTGTAAATTTTAAATATTCTTCTTGTAAAAACTAAGTAAATGTCAACTGGGAAGTTTCTGGTATTGTAACATTTTCTTTGAAGAAATGTTAAGCTTATCATAAAAGGAATTCTTGTGAGAAGAAAAAACCCAAGTCTGTGCTATTTTTGGAAGGCCACTGCGATCTGTGATAGGGCTTTTGTCTTAAATATATTTTAGAGCATGACAATCTTGATAAAGAACCCCTTATGCATATTTCCAGTTTAACACATTGCTTCCCTATAGAAGAGTAAATCAGTTAACAAATACATGAAATGCATTAAACAAATAGAAAGTTATTTTGTAAAATCTCAGTGCCCAAATCAAAGAAACAGCAGATTCATGATAGCAGATCAAAGGGTGTGGCTTAGCAATAATTTTATCATAACCAAGACTAAAATGGTTTGAAATTTTAATATATTGCCAGGAGAGGCCACCAAGGAGCTGGGGTGAGTCTCAGAAGCCATCACTGGTGACATCCAATCGGAACGTTGGAGCTGGAAGAACCTCTAGCTGGATACTAGAGGATGAGAAGTTGCTTCCCGCTGCAAATGGAAGGGAGGACTTGGACAAGCTGTCATTTGGGCAACGTCCTGTGGGAAATCTTGAGTGATGAGTTTCCAAGTTGGGGAATAGCTCTTATTTCCTATTTGGTGGTGGAAACTTATTGGAACAATCCAGATATTTAGCAATTTTGGGGAACTTGGTCTCTGTGCTAAATGTATCAAAAACTAGTGATGCAACACCCATTCGGATGGCTCTGGGAGCTGATTTCCTCCCTACTTTTGGGAGCTTGGGGAAAATCTGGCTCAGTATGTCTGAGTTAGCTCAAGTAACAGATGGGCTGATACCAACTACTGGATCTGAAGACTTCCCCTTTCTAACAAGGCCATTCTTCCAACCAGGAAGCGTTCACTATGTTACATACTGGCATCAATATTCTGTAGCCTCCTGACCCTAGAACTATAGTATGCAGAGGATGACAGGGAGGGGAAGGGTGTGCTCTCTCTACTGGAATGCTGCCTACAGTCAGCAGTGGGATAATGCGAGTTTGTGGGGACTGCATTTGCTTCATCACTCATCTGCTTATTGACCCCTCAATAGATGCTATTTTTTACATGCACCATGTATCACTAGTGTGCTGACCTCTTTATACAATGGTCAGAAACTTTCTTACAGATACATTTATTCACACCATGAGGTAAATTTTGCTTATACAAGTATACAGTGATGGTCCATGTTCCCATCTAACATAGCTTGCTCAAATTTACAATCATACTGACGTTTCATCTGAGACGTGATACAAATAAAGCTGGTTAATGATTACCCCACCTGAAGCTAGCTTGCTTTCTTGACCTCTTGCCTTCTTGCCTTCCTGCCTTCCTGCTTGCTTGCTTTTCTTTTTCTTTCTTTCTTTTTCTTTCTTCCTTCCTTCCTTCCTTCCTTCCTTCCTTCCTTCCTTCCTTCCTTCCTTCCTTCCTTCCTTCCTTTCTTTCCTTCTTTCTTTCTTTCTTCTTTCTTCCTTTCTTTCTTCTTCTTTTTCTTTCTTTTTTTTCCAGCACATCCCCAGGGCTAGTTGCTCATAAATATGATCAGCTAAGTCTTCTAAAAGTGTAGTCAAAGTAACTGTTCCCAAATGCCATAACTCTACATTTTAAACCTTTCTGTTTTGTTACAGTAATATCAAGGTAAGATCTTTGTTATTATTTATTATATTTTAAATAATTCTTGTCATTTTTTTCCACAATATAAAAATAATACATGTCATTATAAAGAATATGTTATATGTAAAAAAGCACAAAGAAAAACATAACCCTTGAACGTTTCCCCAGATATAACCATTGTTTCATTTTAATGCATATCTTTTCAGTATTTTCCTCCCGACTTTTTCTATATGTGTGCAGATTTCACCAGAATAATATTGTAATTACGCTTTTGTAATCTGATTCTTTCACTTGACAATAATATATTATGAATAGTTTCCTATGTCACTAAAACTTCCTCTAAAACCAATTTTAAAGGTCATCTAGTATTTTGCTATTTGAATCTTTCTTGAATATCACATAATATTTGAAAAAGTGTTTATAAATATTACAGTAAACATCATTGTATATAAATCTGATATACTCATCTGATTATTTACTTAGATTACATTCCTAGGTATAGAATTGCTGGTTAATGAGTATGAGCAAGTCTGAGGTAGCCTTATTATTTCCCCCCATAGATGCTTTTTGTTGTTTTCCTGGACAATTATTTTTTTTATTTCAAAATTGAAAAACTTAAAAAGTGAATATGTCTCAACATCGAATGTTTTGTGTCATATTTCCCTAGAATGAAGTATAACCTTTAAATCAGAAAATTTATTCATTTTTGGGGGATTTTCTTATATAATACTGATAAACATACCTTCTGTCATTAGTGGGCTTCTTCATTTCAGAGACATCAATTATCCTTATCTTGGATCATCATTATGTGTCTTCCACATATATTCAATTTTTAAAAATTGTCTTCATCTCTTATCCTTTATTCTATATTTCTGTGATTACCCAAGTATTTCTCTTATGGCCATAATTAGGTTTTTAGCTATCCATTTCTTCATTGCTGTTTCTACTTTAGGTATTAGTATTGAAATGATATTAGTTTGATCCTTAATGTTTCCCTTAAAGCTGCCATCTCTCTTTTCATTCCATTCTGCTGTTTCATCATCTCATCTTTGAGCTCTTATCTTATTAAACGCATGCTCTCGTTAAGTCTTTCTATAGCCTGAAGCAATTGTGAAGAATTTCCTCATATTATTGGTGCTATGTTTTCTTCTAAGTGGAATTCTTGATTTAATTGCAGGAGTACATTTGATCAGTTACCATGCTGGGGGTGTGGGTTTGTTCTTATGGAGGATATCCTTGGGATTCCTATTGTTTCCCTTAATTCAGCATATGACCTTCGAGTCATTATTTCTATCAGAGAAAGACTGAGCCCTAATGGTCACTTTCCCCAATTCTCTCATTTCTCCCCAGCATTCATTTCCACTCTACTCAGTGACAGGCAAAAAAACAAGGCAGGTCATTCTACTTTCTTCACATTTAGGGGTTATAGTAAAGATTCCTAGGATATGGGTAACTCAACAGTATGGCATTTGAAGATAGGTGATCATCAGTTTTTGGCCACCAGTGCTTTAAGTATATAAATGTCAAAGTATTTAATTTTAAGAAATGGAAATATATGTGTTTCTGTTGTTTTTCCAGGTGTATCCAACAGCAAAAAGAAAAGTTTTGTAAAACACTTTAATCTATGAGAAACATGGTTATCTTTTTCAATTTTTCAATAGTTGGCATAATCCCAATAAACCTTAATAACGTATTTATATGTGATTAATTGGTTTCGTTTCTGTGTACCCAGTATTTTTGCTTCTAAAAACCTTTTATTTTGATAATATTTCCATGAAAAATTAAAATTGTGATGATAAAATTACCTATAACTCTATGAACATTAAAATATATGAGAAAGTATAGTCCTATGAAAATAAAAAATATAGATGAGAGCAAAATTACCTACCATTCACCCAGTTATGATTACTGATAATATTCAGCCTTACTCTCTTCCAGATTTTTATTTGCATATTCAAGTACATATATATGTACTTGAATATACATATATATCCTCAGGAGCTGAACACACAGGAGGGCAAAGAGGTTTGTACAATGATGTTCATTGTACCTTGGTTTATAGGAGTGCACATGTGGAAGTAATCTGAATATGCATTAGAAGAGGATTTGTTAACTTTTTTATATCTATATAAAACACTATACAGACATCAGAAAGGATATCTATCATATATCCATATTTGTTTATTTGGAAATACCTCCATAAGACATAATTAAGTGAAAAATTTGGCTTAAAAATAGCACATGTGGCATGATCCCACCCTTGCAAAATTACTTATTATAAACCTATATGAATATGTAGTTTACTATGGTGTTAATGGTGGTTGATACAGAAATGGAAAGACTTCAGGTATTTTTGCTTTCTTTGTTATTCCTTTTTGTTTTAGTCAAAATTTTGAAATTTCTATATCCTTGAAAAGAAATTGGGAAAATTAACAACATAGCTTATTTACAAGGAAAATAGGTGTATGTTAGAAAAATGCTATCAATTTTTTATTATATATTATTATGCAATGAGTGAATTATAAGAAATGTGGTTCCAAACCCATAAGGACAGGAAGATGTTTGATTTTCTTGCACAATTCTTAGTGTGTACACTGAAACAAAAGTGTTATTACTAGGCCACCATAGCTTTGGGTGCACCCTCCAATTAATGGTCACAAATCATTACGAAATCTACAGGTAAAAATCAGTTGCATTTCTATATACTAACAATGAACAATCCCAAAAGGAAATTAAAATAATTCAATTTCCAGTAGCATCAAAAATAATAAAATACTTAGGAATTAACTTTTCCAAGGAGGTAAAAGACTTGTTCACTGAAAACTAAAAAAACACTGCTAAAAAGAAATTAAAGACATAAATACAGAATGGCTATTATTAAAAAGTCAGAAAACAACAAATATTGGGGTGGATGCAGAGAAAATGGAATGCTTATACACTGTTGGTGGGAATGTAAATTAATTCAACCTCTGTGGAAAATAGTGTGGCGATTTCTGAAATAATTCAATAGAAATACCAGGTGACCCAATGATCCCACTACTGGGTATCTACCCATAGGAAAATAAATCGTTATATAAAAAAGACAACTACCCTCATATATTCAAAATAACAAAGTCAGGGAACCAACCTAAGTATCCATGAACAGTTGACTGGATAAATAAAACATTATATATATATATATATATATATATATATATATATATATATACTCACCACGGAATATTAGGCTGCCATAAAAAGCATGAAATCATATCTTATGCAGCAACATGGATGGAGCTGGAGGCCATTCTCCTAAGCAAACTAACGTAGGAACAGAAAACCAAATACTGCATGCTCTCACTTATAAGCGGGAGCTAAACAATGGGTGCACAGGGACATAAAGATGCAAATAATAGACACTGGGGACTCCAAAAGAGGGGAGGGTGGAAGGGGGGTGTGGGGTAAAAAATAACCCATCTGGTACAATGTTCACTATTTGGGTAATGGGTACACTAGAAGCCCAATCTCCACCAATATGCATTATACCCATGCAACAAATAAGCACATATACTTCCTGAATCTAAAGTAAAATAAAATGTAAAATGAAATGAAATAAGATAGACTTAAGAATTACAACCTCATGAAGCAAGTACGTCTACTTCCGGCTTTATAGTTCAGTTCCAACAACAGTGTACTTATATTTCACACCACACTTTCTTCTAATGTAGTTAAACTTCGAAAGTACCAACTATACTAGACCACCTAGTTGAAATATATGACCCAAGAAATAAAATATTCTTACTAAATACAAATGTGTTTTTATATACTATTACTTATGGTGTGTAATCAATGCAGAACTTGTTAGATAAACAAAAAGTCATCTCTTTTGTTTGAGGTTTAAGTGTAGGCTAACAAACTTACTATTTGTTTTTCACCTACTGTCAGTGTTTGGTCTTTAGCTCAGATGTATATTAAAAACTATCATGTATAAAAATAAGAAATTAAAGACATAAATAAATGGAAAGGAATCTCATGTTTATGGATTAGAAGATTTAATATTGTTAAGATGTCTATCCTACCCAAAACAATTGACAAATTCAATGTAATCCCTAGTAAAATCCTAATGATATTTGTTTGCAGAAATAGAAAATTGCATCTTAAAATTCATAGGAATCTAGGGACCTCTAATAGGCCAAACAATTTTGAAGAAGAAGAATGTTGGAGGACTCACACTTCCTGATTTAAAAACTTACTACAAAGCTAGAGTAATCAAAACAGGGTGGTACTGGCATAAAGACAGACATACAGATGATTGGAATAGATAGCCCAGAAGTAAACTTTCAGATATACTGTCAAATGATCTTTGAGAAGCGTGCCAAGACCATTCAATGGGAGAAAAGACACTATTTTCAAAAAATGGTACTGAGGATTTGCATTTCTCTGATGGCCAGTGATGACGAGCATTTTTTCAGGTGTCATTTGGCTGCATAAATGTCTTCTTTCGAGAAGTGTCTGTTCATATCCTTCACCCACTTTTTGATGGGTGAGTTCATGTCCTTTGTAGGGACATGGATGAAGCTGGAAACCATCATTCTCAGCAAACCATCGCAAGGACAAAAAACCAAACACCGCATGTTCTCACTCATAGGTGGGAATTGAACAATGAGAACACATGGACACAGGGAGGGAACATCGCACACCAGGGCCTGTTGTGGGGTGGGGGTAGAGGGGAGGGATAGCATTTGGAGATATACCTAATGTTAAATGATGAGTTACTGGGTGCAGCACACCAACATGGCACATGTATACATATATAACTAACCTGCATGTTGTGCACATGTACCCTAAAACTTAAAGTATAATTAAAAATAATAATAATAAAAAAATGGTACTGAGGAAACTGGATATCAACCTGCAAAAGAATGAAGATGGACTCTTACCTTATACCATATATAAAAATTAACTCAAGGCTGGGCAGGGTGGCTCACCCCTGTAATACCAGCACTTTGGGGGCTGAGGCAGGAGGATCACTTGAACCCGGGAGGTCGAGGACGCAGTGAGCTGTGATTGTGCCATTGCCTTCCAGCTTGGGTAACACAGTGAGACCCTGTCTCAAAAAAAAAAAAAAAAAAAAAATTAACCCAAAATGGATCAAAGACCTAATTAGCATAAGAGCTAAAACTATACAACTCATGAGAAAACAGGGGAAAAGGTTCATGACATTAGATTTGGCAATGAATTCTTGGTATGACACCCAAAGCACCAGCAACATAAGAAATAATAAATTGGAATTCATCAAAATTAAAAACTTGTGTTTTTCAAAGGACACTACCAATATAGCGAAAGGGCAACCCACAGAATGGGAGAAAATATTAGCTAATCACATATTTGATAAGGGATTAATATCAAGAAAATATAAAGAACTCCTACAACTCAACCACAAAAGAACCAAACAGTCCAATTCAAAAAATGGGCAAAGGACTTGAATAAACATTTCTCCAGAGAAGATACACAAATGGTCACTGAGCACATGAAATGTTCATATCACTAATCATTAGGGAAATGCAAATTGAAACAACAAGATACCACCTCACACCCATTACGATAGCTATTACAAAAATAAAAAATAAAACAGACAACAAGTGATGGCACGGATGTGGAGAAACTGTGCACTGCTGGTGGGAATGTAAAATGGTGTAGACGATGTAGAAAACAGTATGGCAGTTCTTTAAAAAATTAAACATGGAATTACCACAATATCCAGCAATTCCACTTCTGGGTATATACACAACAGAACTGAAAGCAGGGACTGAAATAGATATTTGTACACCAATGCTCATAGCAGCATTATTCACAATAGGGAAAAGGTGGAAACAACCCAAATGTCAATTGACAAATGAATGGACAAAAGGCGGCATATACAGACAATGGAATATTATTCAGTCTTAAAAAGGAAGTGCTGACACATTTAACTACATGGATGAATCTTGAGACATTATGCTGAATGAAATAAGCCAGATATACAAAGACAAATATGATTCCACTTATATGAGGTAACTGGAATAATCAAATTCATAGAAACAGAAAGTAGAATGATGGTTACCAAGGGCGATGGGGAAAGGGAATGGGGAGTTATTGTTTAATGGATACAGAGTTTCTGTTTGGGATAATGAAAACATTCTGGAGATGGATGATGGTGATGGTTATACAACCATGTGAATGTACTTAATGCCAATGTACATCTACAAATTGTTAAAATGCTAATTTTTAAAATGTATTGCGCGCACACACACACACACACACACACACACACACACGAGTCAGGACTGGCCAGGCAAAACTGCTTAGGAAGAGAGGAGGCTGAAGTGCTCTGAACAATGAAATTGTATGTATTTTGGGTTTCTGTGGGACCAGTCTGGGAGAGGAGGGTAGTAGTGGTGGGCGGGGCAAAAGAGGAGAAGGGGAGGAGACAGGGCCAGGGCCAGCAACATGACACGGTGGCCCTGGGGAGGACAAGCCGACACGTTTTAAAACAGGAATTATTGGTTATTGGTTTTATCTGCTACTCTACACTTTGCTGCTTTACTGTGCCCATCCCACCCAAGTCTTCAGTAAAAGCTTTCTTAGTCCTTCACAGGTTGTATGAGAAATCAAGGGGGAGAATAAAGGCTTGGGACTGTGCTGCATGGGTGGCTGAGTGCAGAGTGAAGAGTAGGGAATAATCCTAAGAAGCAAAACATGAGGGAGATGGAGGTGTCAGCAGAAGCCAGAATTAGAGCAGGGAGTTATCGGGAAAAATGTAAGCCCCCACATTTCCTCAGCATTCTTGGGGCAATACTGGGTTTTGCTGCCATCTATGAGAAGGGAGCTGGTGCCATTTTAACTGAACTATTAAAGGAAGCTGGAGGGTTTGGGGCCAGCTAGGTGGCTGTTATGTTCATTGACTCTTGGAACGATGGTGAGTGGTCCTCCTACAATGGACAGGCTTTGGAAGCTCTTGCCCAGTGTCCTCATATTCTGGTGGCAAAATGCTCTTTGTAGGGTGACAGGGCAGGGCAAATCTGGCTGCTTTAGTGGAAAGTGTCTCCTGCTTGGAGGTCAAACTGAGACTTCCTGAGTGACATGAAATATTGATCAGAAAACAGTCACTTGGGCTGTTACTTTTTAATGACCATTTCTTGCTCATGATTGTACAGGTAACTCTTAATAGACACTTTTGGAGAATATTTCTTAAGAAATAAAACCCTGGACAAGTGGCACAAGATTTTGAGGCTGTTAATATTATAAATATCTTTAAGAATTCTATAAGCAGTTGAGAGCAAACTATTCCATAATCTCTCCCCTGTTGGCAAGACCTTGGTTAGAATTTTTCCCGATTAGTCACTGACCAGCATCATTAGAAAGGGGTTCTGAAAATAGCAGAAGCAATTGGCACAGTTGACATATTCGTCATGTGTCAGACACAGGGACAGTTCAGGAAGGAGTATAATATCTCTATTGAAGAGTGTTCGTTGAAAAAAAGCATTTGAAGTCCCAGCCTTTGCAACTCCTTAAACAGGTGAGTGATCGAAGACATTTACTAACACTCCAAGGCTGTTCCATGATTATATTTCTGTGCTCAGATGACATATCCGAGCCACTTCCCATTGTATGACTTGGTTTGTACTATGCAGCCATTTGAAAGATGCATAAGAGACTCTGATATTGATGTCAGAGTGGTGCTGTGCCTTTCCAAAGAAAGTCCAACTATCAAAAGTCATGGGCTTGGTTCGTTGTACACATCTGTAAGTGGATGACAGCTGACTCTTTGTGGGATATGATACTAACAGCCAAGCCACTTCACTGTGGGCTGATTTGGGGAACTGGTGCAGGGTGAGACTGGCTGACATCGTATGTTCCACCCCTCTCTAAGAAACCCATCAGCCAGGTCCGAGGTCTGGAACTTAACAGCAGTCACTTGGGAACTGGCATTGGAGTCTTCTACTTAGATAGTTTATTGTCTACTGAAGTAGAAGCGGCAAAGACCTCATGAAAGGAACCATAAAGGCTGGATTGTCTTGAGAACCTAGAAGACATACTGAAGCAGCAACATGATATGGAATCCATTAAAGCTTAAGCTCTTCAAGGGCAGGACCCCTGACTGATTTGCTCATCATGGTACCATCAGAGCCTAGCAGAATGAGGTCTGATAAACCATAGCACCTGGAACACAATAGACATATTTTTTGAATGAATGGATTGAAATTCTACATAAGTGGTTCTTAAACTTTAGAGAAACGTTTCTCAAACCTTAGTGCACATCACAATCCCCTGGAGGGCTTGATAAAGTACAGATGGCTGGACCCCATCCCCAGTGTTTCTGATTCAGCAGGTTTGGGGTGAGGGCTGATAATTTGCAGTTCTAAAATGTTCCCAGGTGATGCTGATGCTGCTGGTTGGCTGACCACACACACTGAGTAGCGCTGCTTTGGAGTGAGAAACACCTGGGAAGCTTGTTAAAGATTCAGCCACTTCCCACTCCTGCCACACCTGGAGATTCTGAGCCAGTTGGTCTAGGGTGGGGCCCAGGAACCTGCATCTTAACAAGTTCTGCAGATTCAAATGCTGGTGGTCCCCAGTCACACTGTCAGAAACACACATCCACAGGGAACTGACAAATGGTTTGAATCTCTCTTATTAAGAATGTTATCAAAGTCACCGACTGCCCCTTTGGAAACTATCAGGTACAAAGCTCAGTGGCAGCCAAGCCCTGGCAAGCCACATGCACAAAAACACATGAAAGTAGGACTGAGCGTGTGAGCTGTTGTAGAATGTAGAAATGAACATGAGGTCATCCCATGTAAGAAGGAGAGAGAAATATTGGAAGAAAGCAGCTGAACACAGCTTCAAGCCATGTGAGGTGTGGAGAAAAGCTGGGGGTAGGGGGGTGGGTGTAGTGGGCAGTGGTCAGCCTTGGGGACGGGCCGGGGAGGAAGTAACAAAGAACACAGTCAATCCCATAAAGCAAAGACTTCAGGTAAAGTTCACATTTAGATGCTAGTTGCAGATGGAACTTAAGGGAGCAGTGGCACTCAACTGTGGCATGTTGGGTTTGAAAGGACTCTGGAGTTCATTTTGGCTTCCACATCAGTCCTGAAAGACCAGAGGGGTGAAGGTCAAGACACCCAGTCTTGTTGTCTTGATTTCTGGGACCAGGTGTGCCACTGGGCTTACATGTCTACCTACACAATATATCAATTTTGTTTTATGCATGTCTGCAAGCAAATGACAGATGGCCCTTTGTGGATGTAGTATGTGTCATGCCCACCCTGTGCCCCACCATCCACCTGAAACTGCCGGCTGAGAGGCTTGGGTGGTGTTTAGCAAGGCAGGGGTTCCTTCTGAGGTGAGGATTCGTGTGAAAGTGACTTAGTAGGAAGTGTTCCTGGAAAAGATTGATAGGAAGCGGGTGGCAATGTGAGACAGGGAAGGGAAGGGAAGGGGATCAAGCCAATGTATGACACCAAGCATGCTCCCACAGAAGATAATTTTGGCTCAATCCCATAGGGGAGCTCTGGAAATGGTGTGGGTCACACCTGGAAAGGGAGCTAGGGTGTTTGTATACCTGCTGCCACCCTGCCTGTCAATCGTTGGTTAAGGGAGGTCCCCCTGGAGAAGTACATTTGCAGGTGCTTTTGCTTCTCTTCACATGCACAGGCAAGGTGGACTCCAGCAGAACAGAAGGGTCTGCCCACAAAGCGATGCACGTGCTGGCTGCTTGGAGCAAAAGCCACTGAGATCGGTGGGCCCCCAAATGACAAATGGATCAAAGGGTTATGGGCGGGGCTCCAATGGGGTCTGCTAAACCATGGCACCTTGGACAAGTTCCCTCTCTTCTGCAAGCCTTAGGTAATTCTTCTTATGGCCAGTCATGTTCTATTTCTTCTACTTGTACCTTTTCTTTCAAGATTCTAAATTGGCAAGAGGTCCTGATTTATCCCGTGACGACATTACTCTTTGTAACTTCTACTAACTGGTCCCAGGTCTGCCCTCTGTAGCCACGAGACCACCTCTGCTTCTTTTTGCCCTTCAGAAGGTTGAAAATAATGATCATTTAACCCCCGGAGGGGCTTTTTCTCTTAGCCTAAAATCTCCAGATTCTTTACCTCCTCCCTAAATGAGGAAGAATGTTTCCAATTCCCACCTCCTTTGGCTGGCCTCTTCAGGTATTCCCCAATTCATCCAAGAGCCTCTGAAAATGTGGCATCCAGATGGAAAAGGGGGGATACAAGTACCTTCTGATTTGAATATTCAATCAAATGTTGTTTGGGAAAATGTGTTGCTTACCAAGTCATCATCTCATGCCTCAGTGATCCACTGTCATCTTGCAGGAGTGAGAAGGGCAAAAGAGACCACAGTATATTACTAAGTCATATAACAAGGGGCAGTGGCCACTAGTTTTTCCCCTCTAGGTCTCTGACTTCTGATCTTTTGGAACTAGTAGACTTCCTTCCTTTTTTGAAAAACACTGACATCGCAGCCAGAAGTTGTCACCGAGAATGGTGAATTTAGAATGCAGCAGAAATTATTAATAATCCTCTATGACAGTGGTTCTCAAACTTTCTCATGCATCAGAATCATGGAGAGTGCTTGTTAAAACAGATTACTGCGTCCCACTTCCAGAGTTTCTGATTTGGCAGGTTTGAGATGAGGCTGAGAATCTATGTTTCATAGCAGGTTTCCAGGTGATGCTATAGGAGGATCACTGACAACCCACTCCTCTATTACAATTCCTGACTGCTTGGGCTCTGGTAGCATGAATTTTCAGAAGGCTTTAGTCAAGGGAAGGAAAAGGAAAAACTCGCATCTCTTGTGTATACTGTGTGCCAGGAGCAGTCAAATATATTATAATCTTATTTTAACAGTGCTACGAATGTAGGTGCTATGAATGTATTCTCCTTTTAAAAATAATAAAATGACACAGAATTTAAGTTACTTGTTTTAAGGTCTCATGAGGGTAGATCTGGAGTTGGAGACCAAGTCTGTCTGACTCCAAAGCCCAGTTCTTCCCCATTCACCACACTGCTCCTTAAACTGTCAGCTGAGCCAGAATGTCAAAATCACTCATAATAAAACACACACACACATGCACACATACACACACTCCAGCCCTTGAAATCCTTTCATTTGAATTGCATATCACAAAAATACATTTCGCATACTCAAAAAATGGTCTCAGAAGGAGGTGCAGATAACATAGATTTTTTTTCTACTGCATGTCTATTATTGTTTGTAATCGTGTTTTCACAATAAACTTACTATGTGTCAATTTCTAATAATAGGCTCTCCATAGAGGTTGCCAGAAGTCATGTGTTGGGAAGAAGTATAGTTGGATTGAAAGGAGCCAGTAATGACAGATGAGAAAGCATTAACCTGCCAAAACACTGTATCCTAAATATCAAACAGGCGAATTTCAGAGTTTTATGGTTTTGAGAAAAGGTTTCCAATATTATCCTTATACAAAGCGTTTTTCTTCCTCAAAAGTGCATTACAATGGATGAATCTTGAAAACATTATGCCAAGTGAAAGCAGTCACAAAAGACCACATATTGTATGATTTCATTTATATGAGATATGGAGAATCTATAGAGATAAAAAGTAGATTAGCAGTTGCTTACAGCTTCGGGGATTGGTGATATAGGGAGGTGACAGATAAAGGGTACGAAGTTTGTTTTTGAGGTCATGAAAATATTCTAAAATTAGACTGTGGTGATGGTTGCACAACTCCGAATATACTAAGAACCACTGTTCAATTTAAATGGATGAATTGTATGATATGGAATTATATCTTGATAAATCTATTAACAAAAAGAGCACATTAAATTTGTAAAAAAAATTAAATGGCCATTATACATGGAAGTTCATAATTTTGGATTTCTATAAACACATACAATTATTTTAGAGGTGGCAAGAACTCTGTAATTTAGATTTAGCTAGGGAGGGCCAGTTGGAGAAAAGTGGAGTGCTGTGGCTGATGAGCATAGCCGTTTTGATGTGGGAAGTGAGGTGAGTGCTTGGAAGACTTTAGTTCTAGGGTCTGTCACAGGACGTGAAGATGCATGAAGGGATCAGGGACAGCAATTCACTGTCCTGACGAGGGGTAGGGGGTTCAGGGCAAATTGCAGGGTCTCAATAGATATTCTGGGGTGAGTAGCTGGGCCTTCAACAGAAGCCCAGCCATATAAATTGGGGCATAGAGGGTGTACTGGGGCAAGATGGGCACCTGGGGCATCTGGGGCCCTGCATTTGGGTAGGAGGAGTAGCAGTACGTGTGACTGGGTGCTGAGAGGCATGTGAGGTTAGACTGGAGTTGCAGGGCTGCACGAGATAGTAAGGCTTTCTCAAAGGAGTTGAGTCCACCTGGACTCCTTAGTTGGGGGCCACCCATGGTCATCCACTTGATTTCTAGGGATGTAAGCTCATGGCCTTACCAGGATGTGTCCTAAATCCTAGCTGTGTGAGGGAAAGGAGAACAAGAGATAAGGAAGTAATTATCCCTATCAAGTTCCTTTAAATAACCCTTTACTCCTTTCCTGTATCTGTTCGACTCAACATTACTTATGCCAAAGACCATGACAGAGGCTGCAGATACAAAGACCAAGAAACAGTCCCTGCCCTCTGGAATTTATAGCCTAAAAGGGAAGGCAATTCATAAGTAGATCATTTTCAACATAATGACTTCACCCTGTTAGATCTGTCTATCAACATTCCTTCAGGTTGGGTCACAAAGCGTGCTTCTAGGGAACCCAAATCGCTATGGTCTGAATGTATACGTCCTCCTGAAATTCATATGTTGAAACTTAATCTCCAATATGATAGTATTAAGAAGTGTGACTTTTGGGAGGTGAGGAGTGTCATTACAAAAGAGCCCTGAGGGAGTTTGTTAGCTCCTCACCCCTCTGCTACGTGAGTACACAGTCAGAAGGCACCACCTATGAAGGCGAGAGCCCTCACTAGACACTAAATCTGCTGGCAATTTGATATTGGACTTATCAGCCTCTGGAACTGTAAGCAATAAATTTCTATTGTTTATAAATTACCCAGACTACGGTGTTTTGTAATAGCAGCCGAAACAGACTGACACCAACTTAAGATACACATCTACAACAACTTTAAAAAGCACACACTGAAATTTTATTTAGCATACTTAATATTGCACAAATCAAAACAATTGAACTCATGGACACAGAGAGTAGAAGGATGGTTACCAGAGGCTGGGAAGGGTAGTGGGGGCTGGGGAGGTGAGGATGGTTAGTGGATTAAAAAACCGAATGAATAAGACCTACTATTTGATAACACAACAGGGTGACTATAGTCAATAAGAAGTGTGCATTTTAAAATGAAGAGTACAATTGGATTGTTGGCAACTCAATGGATAAATGCTTAAGGGATGGATATCCCATTCTTCATTATGTGCTTATTTCACAGTGCATGTATGTATCAAAACATCTCATGTACTCCATAAATATATACACCTACCATGTACCCACAAAAATTAAAAATAAAAAATTGCACAGAAATTAAAATACTTATATTTTTCATATATATTACTCAAAGGACAATGTTTTTTTAGATAGACTGACAGTTACATTTTCTAAAGAAGGTCTTATAAACACACCTAATATGAAAACATATTCAGTTAACACAGTTCATTAAACCTTCAATGGCAAAATATGTTAAGGTAGCATGTTGGGCCAGCAATAAACACATACTTGTTATGTAAAACTGGATTTTTGATGTTAAGAGTTTAAAGTCTCTCACGGCATCTTTATTCTCAAGTAAGTGTAACATTTTGGATTCAATCTGGAAGCATGGTGATGGACAGATCAGATGGGATAAGATACAATTTCTGGATTAAATATATGCTGTTTAAAAGACCTACTTAAACAGCTTTAAGTTGAAAAGGGGATAAGTGTACTTTATCACCCTATTTGGCTTAAATAAACTGTGTGTTGCACAATTTTATTTTTATCATACATAAGCTCACATAATATAGTGGGGAGGGAGCCCTTGATTCTAGTACAGACTTGGTAACTTAATATCCAAGTCATCCAGACAAACCGTACTCTCACTGGGGCTTGTTTGTCACATTTGTTTAAAAAGAAAAACAAGATTTCAGAGAAAAGGGACAAAGTTTGACTAAATGATCTCAAAAATCCCTTCTAGCAAAATTCTATTGGGTTGGGTAAAGGCCATTTGAATTCAAAATGTAGATCTGTGCAAAGTGAACCAAACTGGTATTTTACTTGTGAATCAATAATTTTAATGCTAAAACCCCCAAATCCCCACAAATCCAGCACCTGCCCTCCCAACCCAGCTTTAGCTCTAACATTAGGAATTCAAATTGGAGTATTTTTAGCCTCTGGAGTTTAAGGAAGCCCAACTGGAGCCCCTGCCTGCACTTTATAATTTGGCTAATTTAAGTCATAATGCAGTTTCATCTTTGACAGCAAAATCATTTTACTAATACTTTTATGCATTTAAAGAATTACTTCTAATTGGAGACCTTGTAAGTACTAATGGCATGCCAGGTAGGAAATGACATAATTTTATCCTTCCTTGAACTGTTTTTCCCTATGAAATACAACCCCAGCTGTCAGAAATACGAGTTATTACAGATGCCCTCAAAAGGCTCACCTAAAAAAGGCTGCCAGAGGGGTTGCACTAGAAAATAGAAAAATCAATCCCAGATGAAAGCAAAAGAAGTCTCCAAATTGGCAAAAAATAAATAAATAAATAAATAAATAAATAAATAAATAAATAAATAAAATAAATAGAAAGAAAGAAAAAGACCAGTTATATTAATCATTTAGTTATTTAAGAACAGGATGGAGATGGAGAGATGCTTTCCTAAAGTCTCAAGATCAGGCTGGTTTTAGTCATTTCCATGCTGGGGCGTTTCTTGTAAAAAATAACTTTATGAGGAAGGGCCCTACGAAATTCCAGCTTTACCGAGCTTGCAACCGTACGGCTCATTATCCCGGGATAACATCGAGGATGTAGCAGCCAGTAATTAGATCAGAGCGTGGAAAATCGGGGAGAGAAATTGGAAGGAATGACTTTTTTTTTTTTTCCCCAAAGGAAGTGTACAATGAGTGGCAGAAAATCCAAGTCAACCACAGTTTCCTTGTTCATGCTGCAAAGGGATGGGTCGGGGCAGGGTCCAAGAATAGGAAGGGAAAACTCAGGTGAGGTCTGGGAACGGGCGTGGGAACAAAGGTGAAACGAGCCAGCCTGGGAGACGCGAGCTGCCTCAGGAAGGGCTCAGAGTAGGCCCAGAATCTCTCAAGGGTGAGTCCAGGTGAGGGACACGTTACCTAGCGCCGCTGGCGGGGAGCTTGGGATTCGCCCGGGCGTGGTTCCCGCCAGTGCCTCTTCAGCGCGCAGCGGCCTACTGGGTGTCAGCGCGCAAAGTCGCAGCTTAATCCTCGCTCCCGCTGGATTAATTAGGGCCTCTTCAAAGCAGAAAGTTGAGCCAGGGCTTCTTTCCCAGACACAGGGACACCGGGAGGTCTACACTCCTCCTGCCCAGCCGGACGCCCCTCCGCCGACACTACCGGGTCGAGGGGCTCCGGCGACTCGTGCCTCTCCAGTGAACTCCGGCTCCCGCAACCCCAACCGGGTTCCTGGGACCCTCTGGTGACACTGGTGGCCAGTAGGGTCACTGGAGTCAAGCCCTTGGCCCGGGCCGCTTCACCCGCGCCCGTGCCCTCGGTTCGCGGCCAGCAGTCAGGGCACGGGGCGGGGCGCGCCCGGGAGGCCGAGGCGGCGCGCTATTCCTGTCGCTGTGAGCTACCGGCATGTTATGTGCGGCGCCCAATCACGCCTCTGACCCGCCGCTCTGACCTGCGCCCTCCCCTCCCTAATCCCCTAGGCTTTGAGTTGATCCTCCGCGCGGAACAAGCTCACCCCCCCACTGCCCCGTGACCAGTTGTCCCCGGCCTTCGCGGGTGCCCGCAGAACCCGTCCTCCTCGTCCACCCCGGAGAGGTCAGAGTCCTCGCCCTGCACTCCCGGGACGCCGCATCTGCGCCGTCGGACATCCAGCACCCCCGGAGTCCACCGGCAACTCGGTTCTTCCAGGTGATGGTGTGCAGCCACCGCCGCCCCTGGCGTGCAGGTGTGGGCTCTCCACATTGGGCCGGGGAGGGGACTTCGGGCAACGCGCTGGAAGCCTCGGCAGTCGTGGAAACCAAGCCCCACACTCCCGGGAAGCCTCCAAATTCCGCGCCCTCCGTTACTAGGGGCCTCCGAAAACCGTTTCCAGACTGGATTTGCTCTGAGAGGGGCACTGGGCGATCTGCAGGTCTGGATGAAGGAGCCCTGGGCTTTAAACTGAGCAGGCAGAAATGGGCCCCTGCTAGGGGCTCTGTGGCTTACGCGGGGGTCCCGGGAGTGTTGTGCCCCGGGATGCCTCCGGCCCTGCCCAGCAGGCCTCTGGTCCCACCAGGCTGCTTCCAGCCCTGGGTAGAATGAGTTACTTCCTGTCTTACTGCAAAGCTCATGGCGGCGCGCTGCTCACCGGCTACCAGGCCCTGCGCGCCGAGGGCTTCCTGTGCGACGTGACACTGGAGACCGAGGGCAGCGAATTCCCGGCGCACAGGTCGCTCCTGGCGTGCTCCAGTGACTACTTCAGGGCCCTGTTCAAGAGCCACACCCAGGAATCCCGGGCGCGCGTGATCCACCTGCACGTGCCATCGGCAGCCGGCCTGCAGCGCCTGCTGGACTTCATCTACACTGCCTGGCTGTCGCTTTCCATGGACACTGTAGAGGACACTCTGGAGGCCGCCAGCTACCTGCAGGTCACTGAGGCCCTGGGGCTCTGTGGGCGCTACTTGGAGCGCCAGCTGGCTCCAGAGAACTGCTGCTTCGCCGCCAACGTGGCAGCGCGCTTTGGCCTGGCTCACACGCTGGACGCGGCCGAGCGCTGCATCGTGAGCCACTTGCAGGAGCTGCTGGCGCGGGGCGCGGGCCCCGCGGGACTCCTGGAGCTCAACCCTACATCGCTGAGGGCTGTACTGGGTGCCCCCGACGTGGCGCGGGTGCCCGAGGCCCGGCTACTGGGCCTGGCGTTAGCTTGGTTGCGGCAGGAGCCCACAACTGAGCGCCTGGCACACTGTACAGAGTTGCTGGAGCGTGTCCGCTTTGGCCTGGTTCCCGCCGACGTACTGCGGCGCGTGTACTCGGGCTCTGGCCTCGTGCTGCCCGCCCGGGTCAAGGGCCTCATCATCCAGGCCCTCAACTACCACACGACGCCCTCCCGCCAGCCGCTCATGCAGGGCGAGCAGACCAGCATCCGGAGCCCCCAGACCCGCATCTTGTTGGTGGGGGGGCGCAGGGCACGGGAGGTGGTGATTGAGGAGGTCGCGGCCCCGCAGAGGGCAGCTAGGGGCCAGGTCGCCGCCCCAGAGCCCGAGGAAGAAGAGGAAGAGTTGGAGGAAGAGGAGGAGGAGGAGGAGTGGGAGCTCACCCAGAACGTGGTGGCCTTCGATGTGTACAATCACCGCTGGCGCAGCCTTACGCAGCTACCCACACCACTGCTGGGGCACAGCGTGTGCACCGCGGGCAACTTCCTGTTTGTCCTGGGTGGGGAGAGCCCTTCCGGCAGTGCATCCTCTCCCCTGGCCGACGACTCGCGGGTGGTCACGGCCCAAGTGCACCGTTACGACCCGCGCTTCCACGCTTGGACGGAAGTGCCCGCCATGCGGGAAGCGCGGGCCCACTTCTGGTGCGGCGCGGTGGGCGAGAGGCTCCTGGCCGTCGGGGGCCTGGGTGCGGGCGGTGAGGTGCTGGCCTCGGTGGAGATGTACGACCTGCGTCGGGACCGCTGGACGGCGGCTGGGGCACTACCGCGGGCTCTGCACGGTCACGCGGGGGCCGTCGGGGACCGCGGTGTTGTGTACATCTCGGGGGGCAAGGCAGGGAGAGGCGAGGGCGGAGCGAGCAGCCTCCGGGACTTATACGTCCTGGGCCCTGAGGAGCAGGTTTGGAGCAAGAAGGCACCCATGGGCACCGCACGTTTCGGGCACCACATGGCAGTGCTGCGCGGCGCTGTGTTTGCTTTTCTGGGGCGATACGAGCCCTTCTCTGAGATCGAGCGCTACGACCCCGGCGCCGACCAGTGGACTCGGTTGCGGCCGCTGCCCTACGACCGCTTCTGCTATGGGCTGGCCGTGGTCGAGGAGACAGCGTTGCTGCTGGGCGGCCTCAAGTGGCGGGACTCGCGCCAGGTGCCTACCCGCAACGTAGTGGGCTACGACCTCGACCTGGACCGTTGGGAGGACATCGGCTGCGCGTTGCCCTGGGCCTGGAGCGGCCTGCGGTGCGCAGTGCTGCAGCTGGCCGAGGGTGGGGACGACGAGAGGGAGGGAGAGGTTGGAGAGGCGCTAGATTTGGTGCTGGGCTGAATGGGTCAGTCCGGTTTCCTTCCGCAATGGAGGAGAAAGTCGCGCTTGGTTAGTCTTACAGAGCAACGGATGGGCTTTTTCTAAGAAAGGGATTCTGGGAGCAGAGTGGCTTCTGAAGGTTAACAGGCAAACAAGGCCTTGAGCAAAGAGAAACATTTCTCCTTGAGCTGAGAATGGGAGACAGCGGGGCGGGGGGTCAAATAGAAGGCTATATGAATCAACTTCAGTGAGCTGGTGAAAGAAAATTTTTAGAAAGGCTCACGCAAGGCTAGAGAAGGACTTTCACAAATAAAATATGACCTTATTTTCCCTCTTACAGTTAAAGTGTTTCCCTAGGTGCAAAACAGTGATTACTTATGTGCCAAAAAAAAAAAAAAAAAAAAAAGGCCAAAAAATGTACCACAGGAAGTTTATACAAAACTCAGAAAATTGTTGGCTATAAAGGCTGTAATTAAGTCCTAGGAGATGGCATTATCTGAATAAATAGTGAAAGGAGAGTGCCTTGGTTAAATACCATGAAATCATTGTAAGGAGAACTATGATTTTATGATCCGGAGCCATGGTTACAGTTCTGCTCTGATGGTTTGATATAAATATGGAACTGAGAAGGAAAAAAAAAATCTCTAAGCACTTTTTTTTAATCTAGAAAGTATCCTTAAATTTTTCTGTCACCGGTGTCACCCTAGGCTGCTTTTGCCCTGACTTTAGACAGCTCACTGGTTTTAAGTCACATTTCATCAACCCTTAGCCATAATAATCAGGATCCTCTGGTTAAGTGGAATGTCTAACCAAAACAAAACAAAAACTGATTTCTTTCATACTCTTTTAAATGTTCATTCTGCAGACATACTGTAGATTATATTTGTAAAAAAAAATCAATTTTTGGTGGTTACCCCCACTTCCCCCAAAAGAATCACAGAGAAAGGAAAGAGGAATAGGTAAAGTTTTAAACTTCGTCTCAGGTAAATGGGAAACGAGCTTGATTTTTCAGGGTCTTAGATAAGACACTTGTATATACTGAACAGGTGCTGCTTTTGGCTTGTATCACCAATGAGGCAGCAAAGTTAGAACTCGAAACTAGGGTGGGGGGTGGTGGCTGTATAATTAGGTCACAAAGAAATGTGGTAAGGACTTTGCATGAATAAAGTAGGTGCTTTATAAGGATTCATTAAGAGCTGAATTTATTTGACTTCAGTTTACAGTGCTGCCTCTCTCCTAGATTTGAAACGAATGCAATAAAATGTACAGATATTATATAGTGTTAAAAGGTCTCTTTCATGCTAGGCTAGCCACGAGTCTTGTCAAATTCATTAGTTTAATTTTTACCATTTAAAACAACAGAGCTGACTTTACAAAAGTAAAAGCTGCTTAGTAGCAACAGAGCTAGTCTTCCCGTCAACTGCTTGCTGTTTACAGGCCACAACCTGGCCACTGTAAACATGACACATCCATCAGGTACATATATTTTTAAGTGAACATACACATTTGGTCTAGTAAACATCAATAAGTCTAAACACCTGTTAACAAGCACACTTCATTTTAGGACAAGAGGTTTTTTGTTTTTTTTTTTTTTTTTTTTTTACATATACAAAATCCCACAAATTTAATGTGCGTCAATATCCATGCAGTAAATAAATGTTTTTACAAATAGAGTTCTTTTTAAATGATAAAAATATTACACTGGACCCAAAATTCCATACAAACATTAATACATGATTTCTCATCCATTTTGACTAAATATAGGATTACTGAAAATGTGCTGTAGAAAGGCCACTCTCCTGTACAGTTGTGCAAAGTCTGCAAAACGATAGTGATTCAATGGTGGTTTCAAAAGCAAAGAAAAAGATCCCCGCTGTGGAGTTTTTACTTTCTCCTCTACAGCAAAAATATTCACTGGCATATATCTGAACTCTTAAAGATGAAAGTACATTCACTGAGCTGTACAGGCAACAGTATAAAGCTGATTAGAAGTAGATTTTAGGATATAGAATAGTAAAGGAGGTTCCCTTTCTCCTCCTGAAAAAAACAGCAAATTGTGACTTGTACATTATGCAGCCAGACACTAAAAAGCAGCACAGTCATTTTCATGCTGTGATCACTTTCAAAAACAAGACGCTTATAAATGGAAATATATGAAGAGGACTTTTCCTTAGACTTCATCCACTCTATAGAACAATTCATGAAGCCAGGAAAAAAACCTCTAAATTGTTTCTCTCATAATTCAATGTGACATCTCTTTGAATGACCATCACCTGCTTGCTCCTTAGAAGGGAAGTACATTTTTATTTTTCAGTGTTGTTTTTTATAACACACATCAGCCTGAAACTAAACATATTGTACTTCCCTACCTGAAGTATAATTACCTAAGTTTAATTAGTGGACTAGGGGAAAATTGGAAACTAAGTGGAAAGTTGATTCATTTCAGTTTATACCTTGTTGTCTTTTAAGAGTTGGAGTTTAAAAACATGAGTTTGGGCTGAAATTTATATATATATATAGCTGTTAGCTGCCTTTCTGGGTGTGTTAAGTCAGTTTTTAAAAATCCCCTCTCAAATTCTTCTGTACACAATCAGCATCTCATCACTACAAAAATAAAGGAAGATTTAAACCAAGAAAATAAAGCAGCTCTATCTTCAATTTTGGTCTTAGTTACAAAAACATCTTACAAAGCTTTGCCCTGATACACCAAGTGTTCTCATAGATTTGGAATAATATTTCCATTAACTTAGCTTTCACAAGTTAATAGACTATTAAGACGAATATTAGATACCTGAACTTTTCTTATGTCGATGCTCTTCTATTTTGCTTAGCTCTTGTATGCGCATCTACATTTCACAAAAATAAAACTACAGCATTAAACTTTGTGCAATGTTTAAGAAAATTCTTAGAACATTTTAATAAATATAAAAAAGGTTTAAATTCTTTCCCACCCACAAGGATGTCTGCACCTGAAAAAATGTGATTTACTTTTGAAGTCTTGTTTATATAAAATTAACTTAAAGGGAGAAAAGATGACCATAGATAGAAAACTGCCTTTTGTGGTTTTACTACTTGAAGACCACCTGTATTTAGAATTGTTTGCAAAAGTTAATTTTAAGTCATTAAAGACAGTTGATTTTGCACATGGTAAACATAAGCTGAGCACTGTTGCATATAAAATATACAAATGCTCATTAAAGATAGTGGTATTGTGACCATATATGGTTTGTTTCATATAGTTTGGTAACATTAAAGTATAGCTTGTCAAGTGTTCCACACATTGATATAAAAACTACCTTATATACTTGTTCAGAGTACCAGCAGGTACTAGATGGTCTGAAGGCAGAATACATTTAGACATGCGTTTCAATGTATGAATGAGTGTGTGCTAGAGAGGAAGTGATTACATCTACTTCAGAAGAAATACTCAGTGGGTCATTTGAGGTGGTATTTTGACAGATATCCAAGAAAAGGTCGAGGTACATCTGCTTCCATTGTTGGAATTCTTTAGATGTCAAGTCTGGATTGTCTAGGACTTTATCGATAATGGCTACTTCCCCTTCTCTGGCCTGAAAAGAAAAAGGATTCAACAATTAAGACAGGGACAAAGTTTTATTCAAGTTTAAAATAAAAAGTTAATAGGCAAAACATTTAAGAAGCCCATAGGAGATGGCTTTGGATACTCACACCCACCCAGCTCTTTAGACTCACGTCCTAGTGTACTTTTTTCTACACCCGAGGAACGCCTCCTTTTGCCCACTGTGTGGTTTGCTTTTTCTCTTTGCCTGTCCTTTTGCCCATCTCTGCTATGGAAACCTTTTTCGTTCTTTAAGATCCAGTTCAAAAGCCTCTCATTTCTTCAAGCTGTGCTTAAACACTCAGAAAAGTTTTCTCCCTCATTTATGCCCCTTTACTACTCCATCAGTGCCACTGAGTACATTTGTCATATTCTATTTCTTGAGTTACTTTTGCATGTGTTCTATTTCTCCTGCTTTATGGTAAGCTTCTCATACTTGAATGAGACTGAGCATGGCCCCCCTGTTACCACAAATACATAATTCTTGCTGTGTGAATGTTATGGCTCCCTTTCTGTAGCACTGGGGGCCTGTAATGGAGAATGGCTCTCCCTTCCATGTTGGAAGCTGGGTCTCAGCTGAAGACTGAGCTTCATTTTGGTATAACTCACCAAGTTAAAACTATCACCTGGGGAAGATGAGAATTTCCCAGGTGGAAGGTGGGATGGAGAAGTAGGGGTTAAGAAAGTCTGAGCAGCTCAGTCCTGACCCAAGTAAAGCTTAGGGAAGTGTAGAAAATGTTCTGCAGGAAGTAAGGCATACACCTCTGGGCCAGCCAGAGTTGGGAGGCAAAGAAAACAGTAAGGTGGTTAAGAAGTTGGTCTGGCCTCACAGACCAGAATATGGAAGAGGGCTGGGACTGAGGATGTTGTGAGTTGCCTGTGGTGGGATCTGAGATCTGTGCTTGGTGAGGGGGACTGTTAAAATTCCAGGAAATAGACACATCCAGGGTTGCTTGGCCAGCTATGCTTCCCTAATGAAGGAATTCATTCCCTATTAATTTTCCATGCCAAAAACCATAGGGTTCTGTAGTTCATTTGTACCAATGAGGGACATTTTTTACAGTGACTTTTCGTTATCTTTCTTGGTCCCAGAGAATCGAGTGGAGCATTCATGTACCTGGTGATTCATCAATACTTAGTGAACTGAACATTGGCAGTAGCCATATATTTTGTCACTGGAAGAAAATACCCTGGGGGACTCTACAGAGCATAAAAGACAGGGAAAAGGGGCTGTGAGATAGAAGGAGAGAAACAGGTCTTTAAGATCCATGAATCTAACCTGCTTCAAAATGCCTGCCTGCCTTCTAAACCAGGCAGTTTAGAACTGAATGGGGGAAGTGGAGAGGCTCTATAAGGTGGGAGGGTGATGATATCTTTGGAGTAGGATTAGTCACTGCAACTATTCTTACGACTATTAACAGCACTCTCTAAAAATTCTGCTCTTCCCAAAAGTCCATTAAATTGTCCCCTGGATTTGCAGTAGTATTTGCATGACTACCAATTAAAAGCTAATGGAGTCTGAAAACTTTGCTGCTTGCTATCTGAAATTTTTTCAGGTCATTTTCTAGTTTGTCTGTCTCTTTGGTACTCACCTATATTTCAAAATTACAAAACCTCAGCAGCATGCTATGGATCTGAAATATTTCCCAAAGGAGCCCTCTGACCTTCTGTTTCCTGAAATTACTACAGCACATACTCTGTATGATAGTTCTTTTTTTTTTTAATTATACTTTAAGTCTGGGATACATGTGTAGAATGTGCACGTTTGTTACATATGTATACACGTGCCATGGTGGTTTGCTGCACCCATCAACCCATCATCTACATTAGGTAGTTCTCCTAATGCTATCCCTCCCCTAGCCCCCCACCCCCCGACAGGCCCCAGTGTGTTATGTTCCCCCTCCCTGTGTCCATGTGTTCTCACTGTTCAACTCCCACTTATGAGTGAGAACATGTGGTGTTTGGTTTTCTGTTCTTGTGTTAGTTTGCTGAGGATGATGGTTTCCAGCTTCATCTATGCCCCTGCAAAGGACATGAACTCATCCTTTTTTATGGCTGCATAGTATTCCATGGTGTATATGTGCCACATTTTCTTTATCCAGTCTATCATTGATGGGCATTTGGGTTGGTTCCAAGTCTTTGCTATTGTGAACAGTGCCACAATAAACATACATGTACATGTGTCTTTATAGTAGAATGATTTATAATCCTTTGGGTATATACCCAGTAATGGGATGGCTGGGTCAAATGGTATTTCTGGTTCTAGATCCTTGAGGAATCGCCACACTGTATTCCACAATGGTTGAACTAATTTACACTCCCACCAGCAGTGTAAAAGAGTTCCTATTTCTCCACATCCTCTCCAGTATCTGTTGTTTCCTGACTTTTTAATGATCGCCATTCTAACTGGCGTGAGATGGTATCTCATTGTGGTTTTGATTTGCATTTCTCTAATGACCAGTGATGATGAGCTTTTTTTCATGTTTGTTGGCTGCATAAATGTCTTCTGTTTTTGTTTTATAAGGGCACAGGGCCTGCTCAGGTGGCTTGTGCGGTGGGCCCTCTCCTTCAATCTCCCACACTCCCCCACACACAGTGAGCAGGGCTCACTTGTCTGCCTCCTTTTCCAACTTTCTGCCTCTCTGCTCTCCTGTCCTCACCACCTCCTCCCCAACCTGGGGGCATATAATAAGGAGACTGGAGGCAATGTAAACACTTACAGAAATGTATAATAGGAGGGTAATATGTAAGTTGGGAACTGATAACGTAAACAGAACAATTATAAAATTTCTACATGGAACACAAATCACCGTGGCTTCATCCCAAATGCACTGCAGTTCATGCGGGAAACAATCACGAAATATCTCAAACTCTTTTAGCACCCACTATTGTATTCTGCATGCATGCTGTGTTCTTTTAGTAATGCTAATAATTACACTACATGGTATTTTTATCTTAGAAAATCTATAGACTGAGGAATAACACCAGCCCTGCATTTTTAGAAAACAATTTAAATCACATCCTGTTTTCTCCTAGAACTGAGTAAAATAACATTTAATCAGTGCTTTGAGACATTAATGAAAAGTTAAGATGATCTCCTCTTTACCAATATAGTTATTATGACATAGAAATAGCTCAGCTTCAAGTTCTTACTGCTTGCCTCTTCTTCTCCCCAGCCCCCAATTTGTATTTCTTAACCTACAGTATCTGGTAATCCACTTTAAGAATGAATCTCTTCAAAGAAATTTGTCCTTCCATTTCTTGTCTTACCTTTAAAGTGCTTTTGAGAATTCTCAGCCGGTGTAGTTTTTCATTCATTACAGGATCATTACATCTTTTTATAAATGATAGCTTGTATTCCATCTTGGTTGAAATACGATGTTCTCCTAGTGGTGACAGACTGGCCTGCTCCAGTGCCCTGTATAAATCTTGCAATGAGTCTCCTAACTTTTCTTCTCTGCTTTCACCTGCAACATCCAAAAAAAAAAAAAAAAAAAAAAAAAGAAAGAGAGAGAGAGAGAGAGAGAAAGAGAAATGAATTCATTGCAATATAGTTATTTGACACATGGAAAATTTATTAAAATATCAAAACTATCTGAAAAACAGGATAATGAATGACCATGAGAACACTATTATATTAAAAAACAACAACAAAAACCCACAGCTGCTAGTTATATTGGGTAACATTAGCTACAGGCAGCTAATTGTTTTAGAATGATCAAATAATAGGATTATTTGATTAACCAAATATACTCTTGATAGCAAATTGCCATATATATCTTGAGTCCAGCAAGTTCAAAGAATTAGAATACAAAAGGCACACAACATGGAAACAATCCTGCACATTATATTTTAAAACATTAATAAACATCCCTTATCATTATGCTGATAAGCATAGAAATGCTGATTAATAGAGCTCGCCTGGTTTAGCAATACTGAATGAACTGATTTTTACATTTTTCCAGATTTCATAAGATTGAATGGCATTCAATGGAGTATATTTGATTGTAAAAATCTTCCAATTGTGCCATAGAGGATTACTAGGTTTCATGTGACTGCCATAGTAATGCCTTGTACATTGTAAATATAGTAACTGATCATAAATTATCAATATTTTAATTAAAATGAAACATGGGAATATGTTTATATGCAAATATAGAGGGAAAATATGGCACGTGCTAAGAGAAGCTACTTAGTATTTGTAAGACCTGAGGAGAAAATACTCCAGTTAAATATTTTTGAGAAAAAAATGAGAGACTGGCTCAATAAGGGTCTTAGACATAGCTGAACAAATAAAACTCCCATCTTGTTTTTTATAATTGCCTGAACACTAATGTCGTATCTTTCTCAACAATGATAAACAAAGATGAACTAGGATTTTGCTTGGAGTGGTAGATTGGAGTAGGGCTATATCATCTTTTTTTAAATAGATAGCCAGAATCATATTTAAATAATTATATTGGCCCAAAGAGTAAATATGGAATGTTGTTCATTCCACAATGGTCCATGTGAATATTTTAGGCTTTCTGACAGTTTCAAAAAAAGATTCCTTAATTGGTAATGATACCATTTAACATTTAGATGTGCCAGGCAGCAGGGTAAATGCTTAATCTTTATGATCTCATTTAATCCTCACAACAATACTAAGAGCAGATCTATTTTATCTTCATTTATAGCAGGGCAGTATCTTGCTCAAAGTCACACTTAGTAAGTGGCGGAGCTAGAATTCCATGTGGGCAGTCTGACCCCAGAATCCACGATTTTAACAAGAATTCTATACTGCCAATTTTTTTCAGTTGTCTTTTGAAATGTGTATTTAGCAGTAGATGCCAATGAATGTGAGACGCCCTTAAAATGCAGCATTCAAAAAATTTTTCAAAATGACTGTATCTAAAACTATCAAAAAACCCAAAATGTACAGTACCTTAACCTAAAAAGGTCATTTTTAGGATTAAAAAGCAGCTTTATTTAAATTCCACATTCAACTTTTGGCTCTGCTACTGAAGTTAACAACCAATGGTAGGTATAGTCATTGAGTCCTTCTATTAGAAAATTCCTTGTTATCATCAGCACATGCTATCACTAAGTCCTCTGTGATAAATTTTAACTTCTTAACCATATATCTAAGTTAGAACTATAATCTAAAAATACAAAAATCACTTTAAATAACAGCTTTTAAATTCTCTGTTGGCCCATCGCTGAATATATTCAACACCTAGAGGATTTTGAGGGATGGGGGATGGAAGACTGTAAAAAGGAGAAACTGCTTTGTGGGTTATGAACAAAATGGAAGCAAGATAGGGAATCTTAACTGAGAATGATTTGGCTTGAGGAAGGCACAAAATCATATGATCATTTAGAATAACTAAATGGAGTTGTAAAAACAAGGACACATTTAAACAGCATAAGTCTATTTCAGAAAATCATAGGCCAGGAAAGAACCCTGAGGAATTATATAGTAGTTATCGTATTCTTTTTTTCCTCAAGGCAATACTGCATCTAAAGCCAGATGTAATTTCATAGAGTAGAGGGTGGGGTAGAAAATGCGAGGCCTAACAGATGTGAATTATAGTAGTTAAGGTATCAGGTGGCCTAATGTATTATTAGTTTTTTGGTTCTAGAAAGAAGGTGAAGGAAAAAGGGATTCAGATTTTAGTTTTAGGATTTAAGGGAGGCAGAGTATTTTTACATAGTAATTTTTATTTTAAAAGAACCTTCCTCCATATTACCTAACATTGTAGAAGGGTACATATATTTTGTTTAAAAAAACATTTTGACCCAGTTTTCCCTCAGTTCTTAAAGCTTGTGAAATACTGGGGCAGATAACTGATTTTATAAAATTTCAATGTAGTTTTACTTTAAGAAGGATGAATGAAGATTCAATATATAAAATGACATACATAGGTATTAAACAATAAAAACTGAAAGTTTCTCCCCCTTCTTGCTCTTACGGGGGAGAAAAGCATTCAATCAAAAGACAACATAATTCTACAAAGAATCTGGTTTGACAGCTGTAAAAAGAATTGAGTATGGATTTATCTCTGGGCAGCACACTTGAACAAGCAATCACAATGAGACGGAACACAGAAACATTTCCAAGTATAGTAATGGGATAGTGTGGCTCCTATCAGAGATAATAAGCCACCCCCTGCCCCCATCCCCTACACATCATACACATACACTACACAAGACACAGTAGTGGGATGAGTAAGGACGAGGGACTGAGATGCCAGGCTACCACAAAATGCCACCAATTACTTAACATTTTAAGACTAGACAAAGAGTCTTTTCATTTTCAAAAGGGCGGTTGGTGAGGGGCAGAGTCACATTATAAATCTGATTCACTGTGCTCAACAGTCAAAACAACACAGAACTCAACATTCAAGACAAAAACAGACCTTTATTTTCTTTTATAATTTTCAATTGGTTTCCTTGATTTTTCTCAGATGAATACCAATTAAGTCAATTGGGGCTACTGTTGCAACTGAAAATATGAAAGCACCTTTATTTTCTTCTCTTTTTGCCCTCTTCTTCATCTCCTTCTCACTTCTCTTCAGGCTTCTCTCTTTTTTCAACCCTTGCTTTTTCTTCCTTTAGAAGAGGCTTGCTTTGGAAGAGGAGGCAAGCACTTGGTGAGGTCTGCTTCCTGATTGACTTTCTTTCAATGTGCCAGTTCAGCCACTGGAACACTGGCTGAAAACCAGCTCTTTTGCAATTTGAATGAATGTTTTCTGAAAGTTGGCAAAGTGTAGAGACCACATTCAAATCACAGGACATATATAGGAACCTTCTGTGATTCCTAATGAGGAACTGTATCACTGCTATAATGAAATTTTAATCTGTATCTAATTTATTCAGGAAACCTGGGCCTATGCAGAAATAAATTTCCCCCCAAATTATATTTACGTTTACAACATGTAAATTAGTCCTGTGTCAGATTACATACTTTTGAATTCCAATTTTATTGAAGCAAAGAGTGCATATAAAATTTTCTTTCCTACATAAAATTTCATTGATTGATGGATTTGAGGATCATAATTAAGTTATTGATGAATTAACTTGTATTCTGTGCCGAGGGAGGGTCATTTATGGCTGTGTCATACTTGACGGGGTGAAAGAAGATCCTCTTTATTGTCCCTTTCATATTCTGCTCCACTATGAAATATTGTGAATCTAGGAATGTAGTGAGCATCATTATTTGTCTTTTTCAGGTTGCCTATGACCTCTAGGTAGTAAGTGATAACTGAAAGCCCAAAGAAAAGAATAGCTAATGAAAAATACCAGTTTGTTGGAATCTCTTGCACATTGCTTATTAGAAGATCATAATGCATTTCTCAAATACCAAAAAGTCTTTGGTTGACGTATTTCTTACATTCAGGCTCAGTGGTTTCCAAACTTTTTCTGATTGCACACTCTTATTAGTTAAAACACTTCCGTTTTATCGAACAGAAACTTATATACATGTATTACTCTATAGTAATAGATAGAAGTTATAAAACATACACAGAAAGAAATTCAAAAGGATGAGAGATAAAACCCAAGGAAAAATTCCAATGCTTTTTCTTCCTGTACCTTAATGGACCCTTGTGTGCCCTACTTCAGAGACTTAGACTGTGACTTTTCCACGAGTAGAATTTGTCCCACTCATATTTGCATTTCCCCTTCTTCTACCTGGCACAGTGCCTCATGCAACCCAACACATTCAAACAGAGTGATGGTTTTCTTTATATATGAACTACTCCAAAAAGGGTTCCCTAACAGGTGACTGTGTAATTATTAGGACAATCTATTGTATCATATTGTTCATGAAACTTGGCAACCTAAAATTTTACTCTAGTATCCACCCCATTTTCACATCCCTGCAATGACAATGTTGAAGGAGCATAAAAAATGAAAACAAAACAAATAAGTAAACCAATTGGGCTCTTGAAGAATGAAGCCAATGATGGATAACGAGTTCTGGTACATATTTCGGAAGGGATCTGTGATCTTGTAAAATTGGACAATGATATCCTTGTGGAAACAGTTGTTCCTTCTGCAATACAGCTGTGTAATGAGCCCAGAAGGTTGGGAAAGACTAAATCACAAATGGTAGAGAAGACTGGACATAGTCAGATTTGAGAGACATTCATTCTTGTACAGCTGCAGAGTGCTTTAAGGCTTCCGGGCTAATGATATCAAGTATGTGAAACACTATTCTTGTCACAAAAGGCAACTAACATTTGCATTGAGAACACCCGAATATTTTCCATGAATATGAATTTACTAGCAAGCCATAATGAATAATTTATTTATATGTAAGGTGACAAACTTTTAATGGACTTAATGTCTTTGGAGGTTTTATGATAAGGATGATTAAGTATTCAGGGGTTTATACTATAATTTGAATGTTTGTAATTAAATACTAGCTCTCTTAATTCATGCTTTTATGTAAGTCAATCAGCTATGCCTAGCATTATAAAACTGGGTTTGGGGAAGGCAGTTTGTTATATCAAAAAAAAAGCATAAGATTTTAAAAGCTGGCTTTTAGTCCTCCATCTGTAATCAACTACTAGTTTCATATTTAGGGGTAAGTTATTTATTTTCTTTTAGGCAAAGTAACAATACACAAACATTACTATTGGGAAATAATTTCTCTGAGTAAAGAAGTCTATTTTAGTGAGAAAAAACCCCTTCTCTTAAAAGAACAGTTTGAGTGACTCCACCAACATTTGCTAACTGTATTTTTAAAGAACATGTAAAGCCCATCCTTGTAATAATGATAATGTGCTTCACTGAAATCAAGTACTTGTGTCTGTCAATTCCTTCCTTACAACACTAAATATTGCTCCATAAAGATGTGACAAAAGAGATAGAGCTAAAGTTTATTCTATACTTCTTTCTCTGAACATGTAATTTCTGTTAAATTATGCAGTTTAATGATAAAAATACATGACAGTGGTTGAATTTTCAGGGCACTACAGTATTTACGACAAGTAGTTCAGATGGCAAAACCTTGGTGTCCTTAGCATTGATTTATTGCCCCAAAGAAGGGAAGGTTCTTTGAAGGACAATCAAAAATATAAATGACAGTTTAGGTTTACCCACAGAATTTAGAAAATTTAACCACTAGGAATATGGAAGTCAAAGTGCTGGCTCTCAGGCAGGAATTCATAAAGGAGACAGTTTAAAACCAAAGCTAAGAGATGATTATTTTTGAAAATTAATGTGGAGTCACTATATTCCTTAATGAAAAAAAAAACACCAAATTCTCTAGATCACAAAATTTTACTATGGCTTAAACAGGGAGAATGACCCAAGACAATCCCATAAATATTAAATACCAATAAAGCCAATAAAATGCTTTTTGATGGATTTCTATATACCAGAACCATCATTATATATATATGTTTTAAAAAACACATTAAAATGGTTAGAGCACAGAGGCAATTGTAAGGCAGATCAATGTGATTTTATTCACAGACACAAATTCCATTTGTGAGAAAGAAGCACTGATTACTTCTTTTTAGAAAGATATTTACTATCAGGCATACTTAGCAAATTATTTAGCTATCTGAAAAGATCTGATACCAATTGGTCATATTTTTATTTTTAAGTAATTTATATTTTTACAGGTATTCACATTATGCAATACCACACACTGCGGTGACAGGAAGAAAAAAACATTTCAAAATACAGTGTTAAATTATCTGTTCATTGCACAGTATGAAATATCATTAATTAGCATTAAAATTATTACAGTGTATCTTATCCAACTAAAGGAAATTTCACATCCACTACAGAAGAAAAATAAGCAATATTGATTGAGCCATAGGGGACCCAGTTACATAGTATTAAATAATATCTGAAGCTAGTTTGAAAGACATCCAGACAAAATACTTTTCAAAAATGAAACCCACAGCCTATAGATTCAAAATATTTTACAGAAAAGAATAGCTCATGCCTGCCCTAAGAGGCAACACCACTTGTATACAAGTGCCAAGAAATAAGGAGAAAGTTAGGATTTTAGCTGAAGATTCTATAATAAAGCCTGGCATGAGAAATTTTCTTCATTAATGTCACCGAAAGCAGTCTCTGTGTTGCACCTGAATACACTTTATAATAGAATAAACATAGTAAGTTTCAAAGCAAATTGTGTATACCTTGCCTTAATAGATTACACTTAATTTAGTACAATACAGCACGTCAAGTTTTAAAAATGCAAAATACACTTAATACATAATTTGCTTTCTCTGCTTTGCCTTAAAGAGGCCACCAAAGAGTCCATTAAACAGCCAGAATTTTCTAGTTATTGAAGCTGATCCCTCTCTTTTCCTGGTGTCAGGAGAACACAACTGAGGTGTTACCACACAGAGCCCTTTCCCAGTTAAGACCCTTTCCCCTTCTGTTCTCCCACAGAAACCGCAGTTTTCTGTTACTGTGCTCCATCTTGATTGGCTTTGATCTTATGCTAGTCCCAATGTAGAAAGCTCGCATTCTTCTTAAGAGTGGCCTGCCCCTCTTATATCCCTTTGGGAGGCCCCCAATCCAAAACACTTGATGATCTAAGCTTTTTACAAGTCTGTTTTCTGTTATAAACAGCAAGGACGAGGCCATTTTAGTTGCTTGCAAGAGGTTGATGTTGAGTCTGCGCCGTACCGACTCTCTCCGATCTAAATTCTCTAAACATTAGCTTATCAATCTGTGAGTCCAATGGGTTGAGTGCCAACAGAAGTGGATCCGATTTGGCATGGAGAGGTTCTACCAACTCTCGCAGTGTATTAGCCTAATATGATAAAGCAGTGATACAATATGATGAAAGACCTGCGAGTGCCATTATTTCCAAAGCATATTAGTATTTGTATTAGAAATACCATCATGCAATACCCATGAAGAGAAAGTAGAAAAATATGGCTAGAATTGCATATGGTTTTAATACAATGTCTTTCTGTTGGCATGCAAGTCTACTTGGCCATAAATGGGACACCTTTTGCTTTAAACTTTGGTTGTTTGGAAATGTTAATCTCCCAAATATACACAATAACACACAGTGCAGAAAAATATTTTCCCACCACTATACTTGTATATGTACATCTATAATTTTAATCAGAATAGTTTATGTTAAAATATTCTCCATATACATGTAAAATTACCATTTCTTTTGAGAAAATTAAAATTATTTCTATACGAGATCTTTCCTCAAATTCATCTAATCAAGAAGCATGAAGAAAACCTCTCTAGTCTTCTGACCAGAAGGGTATTTGATTGACCTGATATATATGCTACCATGTCCTAATCAGTGAGACAGTGGAACAGCCTAGCTAGTATTGCTCCAATGAGGAGGCCGCATGCTTAACAACACAAAATGCCAAGAAACGAAAAGCTAAGACAGAGTGAATGTGATGAAAGGGTGACTTTACACCTGAGCATAAGCCACATGCCAAGGAGTTAAGAAACTGGAAGAGATGGATGTTTCTGAATGACCTGAGAAACTAATAACAATTTGGATAAAACAAACTGTACCCTCTTTTAGGTCATTTTATTTTGGATCTTGAGGAATCTAATAAATATTGTCAGCAGGAACAAATCAGCAATATTTTAAATCTCTAGCCTAGTGCAGATTTTTATCTGCAACATCTTGTAGTATCTTTTGAGTCATATTGAGAAAAGAAGGAACAAGTTGGGAGAGAGAATAGAGAAAGCATGTTGTTCATTATGTCCTCCCTTAGAAAATGGGGAGGGACACATCTTGCCTATAACACTGATATCTAGCAAACAAGATATAGCATAGTTCAGAAATCAGCGGAACTAATTTTTGTCTGTAATATTATACTCTTTTTGCAGAAATGGGGGTGGAAACTGAATAATCTTCATATACAGGTCAAACGAAACAAAACACAATACCTCAGTTTTTAGAATATTATAATACTGGAATGCTAGCTTTAGCTTCTACCACTTTGTTTCACAAGGTCATGGAATTTCACACAGCAAAATCAGAGGGAATCCAACCTTGGGCACAAGGTCATTTCTAAGTTTAAACTGTTCTTAATTTATCTAAGCAATTCAAACATTTTGTAGTTATCCTAAACACATCCTTTGTTTCCCCACAGAGATAAGGTTACATGAACCTTTTAATTTCTAATACACATTCCTTAATGCCCACTTAACCCACACTAAACTGAACTAGAGCCCTGGTAATCGAGTCACAATTGCCGAATTCTATTGCAAGAGACTGGAAACATCTCCTCAGTTTAGCTCCTAAGGGATGGTGGAGGGAGAAGTACTATTTCAAAATGGCTACAACTAGCTACCAGTTAGTTAGCATAAGAGAAGATAACTCCCTAGGGCACGGTATCTCTTCAACTACTAGTGCTCACAGTACTAGTGACTACTGAATCTCAGGATGGGGGTGGAGGTGCTTGTTAAACACAGATTTCTGGGCCCTACACCTCATCTATTGAATCAGAATTTCTGGGTATGGAACTCAGGAATCTGCATTTTAAACAAGCAATCCAGGTGATTCTTGTGCCCACTGCAGTTTGAGACCTCTTGCTTTAGGTCAATCACACTGGCTAGGGCTGGTTGGAGTAACAGCAATTTTTGCACTGCATATACAAGTAGTTTCTAAGTCAGAAGCCCTGAGTTTGGGGACTTCACATAGCATTTTATTTTTAATCCCATCACCAGTCTGACATTGTATCACACAGCTTAAACAATTTCAGGATTTTTGCTGAGGAATCTGATGGAAATATCTTGGTCTACTGAGATTATGGCAAAATGAAAGAGGCCTTGGTAAATTTTAAATAAATTTTTTAGAACTATACTTTTTATGTAGTGTTAAATAGTGCCTATTTATATTTGAGGCAAACAAGAAACTACAACGGCACTCCTACACTCAACTCCACTATATGTCTTGGCATGTGCATTACGAATCTTAAGTATACGTGTACTGGCGAGCCAGGTGGGTCAGAAGCAAGTGCACAAAGGGCTGCCCGTATAATCTAGATGAAATCTCTAAAACACAAAAACCTACTTCAAGATACTGTCCTTCTATCTTGGACTTCTGTGAATCTCATGTTTATGTGTCTTTAACTTTTTACAAGTCCCATTCTGATTCTCAACACTCTTTCCTTTTCTCTCCCTTTAGGTTTTCACTGGGCTTTCTCTTTCTTTGTGTTCAATTCTCAATTACTACCCTTCTCCTTTGTAGTGGACAACTTCATTTATCCTGATACAAAGTCAAAATAGTCAAACCAGTTAAAATTATTATACAGACTAATTTTATTCCTCTTTTCTAAAAGAACAAATGGAAATTGCATGTTCTTTAGAAAAAGGCATGCTGGGCACAGTGGCTCATGCCTGTAATCCCAGCACTTTGGGAGGCCGAGACAGGAGGATCACTTGAGGCCAGCAGTTTGAGACGAGCCTGGGCAACATAGTGAGACCCCATCTCTATGGAAAAAACAATAGAAGGCAGAAAAAACATAAATTATATAACTCTTGATTATTTTGTTTTCTTTTGGCTGTTACTCTAACTATAAAAATATTCCCTACTGCTGCTGTTAAAATAAATTTCACTATTTACCAAGCTTTTAGCCAATTACATTTTGAAATGAGAGCAACATATCTATGATACCACAAAGAAAATCAGTAATGCTTCTGTTTGGCGTATTATTTAATAAATATTTATTAAGCTACTACTCATCACTGAAACTTCTAATTGTGAGGCCACCAGCTTAGGTTAAGAAGAAACAGATCTTGTTTCCCTGTTACTATACTCCTGGAGATCTGAATGATGAACCCAGATGGAATGCCATGTTGAATCATGTGTAGAATGACTTATTCCAGTGAGATTCCATATCCATGCAAGTTCCTTGAGACACAGATTGAATTTGCATAGGAAATCTTGAGGAGGATGTTTCTTTCTCTTTTTGCTTTATGAATTTAAACATTGCCCCAAATAAAACTTGACCGCCCAAATAATAAGAAGAAATAGAAATTCTGGAAACATAAGTTTTAGAAATATAATCAGGCTTCCATTAGTGACCTGCTAAAAATAGCTGATGATACTTCAATCAAATGCCTGAGGAGGATTAGATTATAGAGGGGATAAGGGTAGAGGTACGAACATCTTCAAGAAAATGATTAAGGCTAAATATAAAACAGTTGAAAATAAATATTTTCTTTAATGAATGAAAGAGAAGAAAATATTTTAAAATGGAAGTAAGTATTTAAGCCAGTTGAGCACTTACAAAGATTCCTAATTCTGTTTGAGTTCTAAGACAGAACTCAATTCTATTTCACTCAGTTCCATAATCAGCATGCTTGAGGGCAAATTTAAGGGCAAAGCCAAGGACTACTTGTCTTAAGCTATTTGTGGATAACAAAGGTCATCAATAGCAGATATTCAAGTCTATCAAGAGTAACACAATTCTACTCCTGGGAGAGTAGAATTGTTTTGTGTTTATTTTGAAAAACCTTATTTACTTAACATAGTTATTTGGAGCCTCCCCTTCTTCTAAATGTATGTGCTTAGATTTAAGTTTTTCTTTTTCAAAAACAAGGATATCCAACACCATGAAATGATAGTGATAATTACTTTTCTCTATGTAAGTATTGGAGACAGTGGGCTCATACCTTGGTTCAGAATGTTCAGACCAAAACAGAGACTTGTTAATTGTGGTTTGAGTATTATCTGTCCAAATTTTGAGGGCCTATTTTCTCATAAAAGGTTGACTTCAAAAAGACTGGATATTAAAGATTTTTTTTATTTTTTAATACCATAGGGAGAAGGAGTTGGAAAATATTTTTATGAATGTGAAGCAAAATTTTCATGATAAAATATTATTTTTCTAAATAAAGTGGTAACTAGTGATAGATAATATAGTTTGTGTTTATACTTACAGCACTTATGGAGTTCTTTAATTCACAATTCCGGGTAAAATAAAATATTTGATGAACCTAAGCCATAGGCAAAACAGGTAAGAAAATACTGTTTCCAGATAATTTGAGTGTTCCTCTAAATTCCCAAATCACAATTCCATCCTGTGTGTATAAATCACAAGACATGGAGTATTTCCTTATGAAAGTAGTATTTCATCTTAATCCACCTACTGTTATATTATGACCTTAGAGTGCCATTTATGACTTAATTACTTATCCAGGAGTCTATCACACATGCTGACTTTCTAAAATCTGCATTAAAAACAACTTTCTGAAATTAAGGCAGATCTGAAGTACCCTTTGAGTGAAGTTTTTACGAAACAACTGAAGACATCTTTCACATTTAATAGTTACAGAAGTACTTAACATGTTGTTTTAATTTACAACCAGTTTATTTTCAATGAAGTGTCTGTAGATATTTCAGGAAAATGTACTATGGAATTTTGACACATGATACTGTCATTGCAAATGTCGCCATTCAGATTTTAAAATGGAAAATGGAAATAATTAATTTTTATAGAAATATATCGTTCAGTAAAGGTTTAATGGGTGCCTATGGGTGTATATATATATATACTATATCAAAGGTTAGGAATAAATATACAAAGACAACACTCTCACCTCAAAAAGATTATGATATAGTTGTATACCTCCTTCCCACTTCTATCTTAAAATTTTATAGTTAAGAATTATCTACTGTATTTGACTTGATATTTGACTCCTCCATCCTAATCCATCCATATTTTTAAATATTTCAGGAGATGTTATTTTGAGGTTATTAATAGAAGAATCACATTAAACTCCAATGAGACAAGTTTAGTAAAAATAACCATTCCTGGGTAAGGTTTTCTTTCAGCAATGTAGGTGGACAGCAAGCTATTGGCAGATTGGGTTGCTTCTGAAATCCATTTTATGATGAATAATGACTTAATTTAAAATAATCTCCTTAAACTTCTCAGTTCCAGTTGAAATACCTACAGAGATAACATAGGTGAAGTCTGAGACATGAACCCCCGACAGAAAATAGTAGACTTTTTTTTTTTAACTCCCAAATACTTTAGAGATGAACAGTGCAGGTTTTAAATTTATGTGGATTTTCTACCACCACCTTGTATGTTTGTATTAAAAGGATGTAATTAGATTTTATTCAGCCTGGATGATAATCAATGTGAAGTAACTCAGTGATGAGAACTGCCAGTCTGGTGAACAAGTGAGTCATTCAACACTTCATTTGTGACTACATCTAGTCTGTCAAAATGAAAAGGCAAATTGGGATCAACTCTATCAACATAGTTTTCTTGCCTATTTCCTTTAATAGGTTCTTTTTGGTCCTTCAAACCCTATTAGGACATTCTCTTTCCTACCTGATAAGTACTCTGAAAAGTAGTTCCAACCTTATCTGAATCTTGGTTCACTTATATGACTGGGTGGTAAAAATGTCTTCAGAACACTGATTATACATCTATGACCCACGCTATTTAATTTGTCCATCACACTCGACTTGAATTTTCCAAATTGATATTCTGGTGAAATAATAGATAAGGGTATGTGTGCCTGGGGAGTTGGGGTTATGGAGATACATTTAGTATGTTCACTTCATCAGAACCCACTCCAAGTAAACAAAGGACTTTGCCCTTACATACTTCTGCCATGATGCTGATCAGCTAACTTGATCTGTGGTCAGTAAATTTTAATGCTATGCAAATTATACTTTTACTGCTCAGCTTCTTTGGGAAGCAACCAATGGCACAGCTTCCTAAGTCTTGAAAATTTGATCTATACATATACACACACACATTTATATATACATATATACATATATACACATATACATATATTTATATATACATATATATACACATATACATATATACATATATACACATATACATATATTTATATATACACATATACATATATATAGGTGTATATATATATACACATATACATATATATGTGTATATATACACACACACACACACACACACACACACACATTTATTTTAGATCAAATTTCAGACTGGTGTGCCAAGGAGGTTACTAACAAGGCATTAACATTTAGAAGTTATTGAAGGAGGAAAATCAATATTACCATCTTTATAATATTGCAAGCTCAGAAAGAGTAAGCAGAAGTTTATTTCAGGCTTCTACAATCATAAAGAATGTTACAGTATGGGAGGAAATAATGTCTTTAGATTTTTAGCATAAGAATCAATTCTTTTCTTATTCTGCTGTCAGCACTCCCCCACACACAAGCAGAACTATCTGTTGTATTCTTCCTGAAAAGAATTTAACATTTCACTTACTTTTGCAAGTCAGTACCTCTTTTATTACCTAATTGAATCGTGAGGAATGACATGATACTGGAGCTAATACTGAATGATATTCTTCTAATAAAAATAACAGTAATCCTCCCAAAATCAAGATGGCAGTACTCTGAGGATAGAATATGAATTTAGTGTATATATATACACACACTAAAATAAATGAATATATGTATGTATATATATATAACATAGATCTTTGTGAACTTTTGTCCTACAGGTCTAGTCCATCCTATTCTTACTCTCATATTAAATTCATATTCTATCCTCAAAGTACTGCCATCTTGATTTTGGGAGGATTACTGCTATTTTTATTAGAAGAATATCATTCAGCATTAGCTCCAGTACTAATGCGGGGTACTGACAGCAGAATAAGAATTGATTCTTATGCTAAAAATCTAAAGACATTACTTCCTCCCATACTGTAACATTCTTTATGATTGTAGAAGCCTGAAATAAACTTCTGCTTACTCTTTCTAACTGAGCTTGCAATATTATAAAGATGGTAATATTGATTTTCCTCCATCAATAACTTCTAAATGTTAATGCCTTATTAATAACCTCCTTGGCACACCAGTCTGACATTTGGGATCATTTGCTCATTAGCAACTCTGGCAAGAAGGAGCTGCTTTAGGGGCACTGCCAGTTGAATTTAAGGACAATGAAAGATACCTTCCCCAGCAAGGCAAGTGCCAAAGAAAGGTAAGAAGAAAATTCAAGAAACATTTGTAAGAATCTAAAATTGTATCTTGACAGTTATTTATCATTAAGATTTTTTCTTTATGTCAAATTTGTTATAAATCTAATCTCTCACCTTAATCCATGGTATTTTCACATTCTTTTATTTTCTAATCTACAATAATTACATCATAAACAATCCTCAAAAATCCCCATTGTTAAGTCATCTGCCTATTCCAACATTCAAATTATTATATTTTTAGGCATTCAAAATATGTTGTGTACATGACAAGAAGAAAAACATTAATTTGGTAAAAATCACTACAAAATCATGTTTGTAAGAAATATAGCATAGATGTAAACAAATTAGCATTAATGTTCATCTTAACTAAAAATCAAGTAATGAGTTTTCATATTCAATCTTAGCTGTCTTGGAAATTGCTGGTTGTTAAATTTTGGACCAGCAAAGTCATCTTGGATTTGGGATGGAAAGCTATTGAATCTAACAACATATGAAGAATATCCTTTTTAAAAATGCCCTATTGTATATTAATTTTCATTTTTCCCTTCTGACAAAATTATATGGCACTGCCCTTTTACAGAAAGTTCCACTAAAGAGTTAGAGATATGCTGACTCTCAATGTTCTTATGGAAAAATACAAATGACTTTATAGCCATTGCAAAAGGTTCCCAGCTATATCTGTGTTTAACATTTAGTATCACATGTTGAATTTCACACTCTCCAGCGTAATTACAGAAAACTGGAATGATACAGGAACTTCATTGCAGTGAGTTCCTCTTGCAAAATTCAAATGTTTGAAATGTCAGAAAGTTCTCTGTATCCTACAACATAATTTGTATTCAAATATAGCAACGGATTGCTAACTTCTTGCTAGTAAACAAAACAAAAAATTCATTTATGTTAATAAATTTGTTTCCCATCTGTAAACTAATTTACGGCACCTTTATGGTGCTAGCTTATTCATAATATATTTTAAAAAATAAGAACAATTCTATGTTTTATTGAAGTCAGAATTTTTTGGAATTCCTATTTAGTATATGTATTTTATTAAGCAAGGGCCATGTTGCCTTCTCTAGGGTAAAAAACACAACCATGAAAGTTGAGATGCCATCCTAAGTCACTTTGAGGAATGTGCAAATCAAGGGGTGAATTTGGGATTCCCAACACCACTTAAGACTTCCTACCATCTCCTTTGACTGATGCCATTTTCCGGGAGGGGATGGCAAAAAAATAATAGCAGCTGTAAAGTATTTAGTATCTCCATAACAAATGTGATCTTCAAAGAACTCTGTGGAACTTTGACCCTATTTGTGGTACTAATCTGTATGTGTGTGTGTGTGTGTGTGTGTGTGTGTGTGTGTATATTATATAAGTGTGTATACACATGAACACCTATATACACATACTAACATTACAAATTTACATATGCAAGAATATATTAAAAATTGGGCTATATGATCTTCTATAGCTAATTCATCAGATCTATCTGGATATGCTATAACTGGATTTGTAGTGATAAATTACATTAGTTCTTCCTTAAGTCCATGCATACTTATGATCAAGGTTCTAGAATAACTTCTCATACTGATTTTATTGGAAGTGCAGAACTAATCTAAAAGATACTAATATTGGATTTAGTGACAAATTTAGGAAATCTCAAACTAAAAGTCACATTTTAAGCCCACCATCAAGTGAACATTAAATGTGTGAACTACTATTTAGGAATATTGTCATATAATTTGAAATGAAACATTATTCCTTAGTAATTGACTATGCAGAGTACACACCATGAATACAGTACACACAAAACCAGAAACTGACCAAGGAAAATGTCATTTTCTTTCTCCTTATTTTAAATCTTCAGCACCAGAAAGTTTGTTTTCTCTTTGTGGAAAATCAATAAACACTTTAAAAGCAGAAGCAGGAACTCTTCTTTAACAAAGTAATATACTTTAAAAAAGGCCTTGGGAACCAAGGCCTTAGTTTTAGCCATATGAGGAATGGTTTCACATCTTAGTTGTGTGGGCAGATCTGGTCTCCATGGTGATGAAAAAGTCAGCCAGGGAAGTGGAAAGAACTGTGGTACATTGCTCCCAACAGAAACGGCCAAGCTGAAATCAAATGCAGCTTTTGTATTTAGCGTGGACAAAGCCTGAAGCTCCAGTGAACTGGTACTTTACCTCAGGTTGTCATGGCAACCTGCTAAGAAGGGTGGGTTACAGATACCCATATCAACTTATTACTAAGATGTAAAATCAAAAGCCAGAACATATGGGATAAAAGTAATAAGTTATTCACTAGTTCTGAATCTGGTTTTCTTAAAGAGGAGCTAGGAATTTAATGGAGGTATTGCTGTTTTTGCAAAATATCATATATTCTAATTAGTATTCTTTTTTCAAGGAATCCTAAGAATTATCACTGAAAAACTTTTACTCTTCAATTTGGTGTTAACATTTTGAAGGCAAACCAATTTAGCATGTTAGCTCGGTAATAATAATTATGGTACTAACATTTGCATTTCACTTTCTACTTTACGAAGTAGTTTTATATGCAATATCTTGAAAGAAGATGCAGGAAATGTGAGAATTATGAGTTTTTATTTTATTCTACATACTGCATGAGATATTAGAAGGTGGAAATAGATTAAAGCATTAATGTTGCATTCTTTAATAGTTCTTTTCAGGTTACATGCATTTACTCTTCCGATTTGTAAGAGGTGATTAAAAGTAATGTTTCATCATGAGAGAATACACAGAAACACACAATATATCAGACTTGGCATCTGTGAGTAGGAATTGGTAAAATCAGTGGTATCTCTGAATTTTACTCATAAATCTACTGCTTTATATCTCCACCAAATGATAGATAAATAAATAGGCAGAAATATTTGGATTGTTTCCACAAAATGTATAAAGTAGAACTTCGAAGGAAAAATTGAAATAACTTCTGATTAGTCACCATATGAAATAATTTTCAAACCAGTATCCAGACTTAATTCTTGGGAATTATTTTATTTATTTATTTATTTATTTAGAGACAGGGTTTTGTTCTGTTGCCCAGGCTGGAGTGCAGTGGTGTGATCACAGCTCACAGGAGGCTCAACCTCCCATCCTCAAGTGATCCTCCTACCTCAGCCTCCTGAGTAGCTGGCACTACAGGTGCACACCATCATGCCTGGCTAATTTTTGTATTTGTAGACTTGGGGCTTTGCCATGTTGCCCAGGCTGGTCTCGAACTCCTGGGCTCAAGCAATCCTCCTGCCTTGGCCTCCTGAAGTGCTGGGTATGAGCCACTGGGCCCAGCCAGTTTTTCTTTTTTTTTAAAAAAAAATCCCAATATTAAAAATTAGCTATAAAAGGAATCATGTCAAAGCTTAAAATACTAAGAAAGGGTTTTGACTCAAGTGGTGGACTCGTTTCACTGTTTATACACATCACAGTACATGATTTTTGGACACTGGTTAAAATTGGAAAGTACACTAATTATAATTTCTACTAATAAAAGGTAAATTTTTGTAAATGTGATTGAAAGATCAGAACAACATTTTTGCTTTACTTGATTAACCATATTAATGGTGCTGCTGTAATAAAACCTAAAAATTTTAATTCCTTTTATGTAGGTCAATATATATATATATGTATGTGTGTGTGTGTATTATATACATATATAGTGAAAAATATTTTGCTAAATTTTAACCTGTATTAAAATTATAAGTCTGAGGGGCAATATGCAATTAAGAGTGTTCACTCTGCTGTCACAATGTCTGTCTGAATCTTAGGTCTGTTATTAAATAGCTGGGAGTCCTGGATTATGCTATTTAAACTCAGTTTCCTCACTTAGAAGATAAGGATAATAATAGTATTTCCCTTACAGGGTTGTTGTAAGGATTAAATGACTTATATTACGTAAAGACCTTAGAATAGTGCCTGACACATAGTAAGTACTCATTAGAAATGTTAGCTATTATTTGTAATAGATTAATGTGTTCAACAAACCTATAAAATTTAAACAAACTGCATCACACTATAGGTGTTTTGGCTTTACCTTGAGAAAGGCAATTCTACTTTAGTATTTTTATCCATGTGTAAAAATATCTTCTTTTTCTATATGAGAAAAGAATAAAAGATTCAGATTTATGGGCATGCCTGGCTTTGCAGACTGCATTTCAAATCCAGACTATGTGGCATATCTTTATAAAAAAGATAAATCACTAAAATGTCTTTGACTTTAACAGAGAGGTATCATCTATAGAAAACATAAGAAGAGTCTTCCTGAGACAGCAGTGAAAGTAAAAGGACAAATAAATATAATTCAGTCATTCTATTCAGAATGCCCTTGATATCAAATTTAAAATTATTTTATTCAAAGACTGATCAGTTAATGATGTAAACCTGACTGAAATGAGTTGAGATTTGCTTTAGAATGGAAATAGCAAGTTAAAATAGCTTCAGTTTTCACTTCTTCATAATTCATTATATGGTCATTGAATATACTTCACTAAACAACTGAAATGTAATACATAAATACTGTTAATATAAATGGGATTTATTTTCCCTATCAATGGGTGTTTCCCTCTTGCCATTAGATAACTTACTTTACACATTGATATGGTTTGGCCCATCCAAATCTCATCTTGTAGCACCCATAATTCCCACGAGTTGTGGGAGGGACCCCGTGGGAGATAATTGAATCATGGGGGTGGGTCTTTCCCATGCTGTTCTTGTAAGACTCATGAGATCTGATAGTTTTAAAAATGGGAGTTTCCCTGCACAAGCTCTCTCTCTTTGCCTGACCCCATCCAAGTAAGATGTGACTTGCTCCTCCTTGCCTTCCACCATGATTGTGAAGCTTCCCCAGCTATGTGGAACTGTAAGTCCAATTAAAGCTTTTTCTTTTGTAAATTGCCCAGTCTTGGGTATGTCTTTATCAGCAGTGTGAAAATGAACTAATACAGTAAACTGGTACCAACAGAGTGGGGCACGGCTGAAAAGATACCTGAAAATGTGTAAGTGACTTTGGAACTGGTTAACAGGGAGAGGCTGAAACAGTCTGGAGGGCTCAGAAGACAGGAAAATGTGGGGAAGTTTGACACTCCCTAGAGACTTGTTGAATGGCTTTGACCAAAATGCTAATAATGATATGGACAATGAAATCCAGGCTGAGGTGGTCTCAGACGGAGATGAGGAACTTGTGGGGAACTGGAGCAAAGGTGACTCTTATTATGTTTTAGCAAAGAGACTGGTGGGCATTTTGCCCCTGCCCTAGAGAATTGTGGAACTTTGAACTTGAGAGATGATTTAGGGTATCTGGTGGAAGAATTTCTAAGCAGCAAAGCATTCAAGAAGTCACTTGGGTGCTGTTAAAGGCATTCAGTTTTAAAAGGGAAACAGAGCATAAAAGTTTGGAAAATTTGCAGCCTGATAAGTGATAGAAAAGAAAATCCCATTTTCTGAGGAGAAATTCAAGCTGGCTGCAGAAATTTGCATAAGTAACAAGGAACTGAATGTTAATCACCAAGACAATGGGGAAAATATCTCCAGGGTATGTCAGAGACCTTTGCAGCAGTCCCTTCCATCACAGGCCCAGAGATTTAGGAGGAAAAAGTGGTTTCGTGGGCTGGGCCCAGGGTCTCTCTGCTGTTGTGCAGTCTACAGGTGTGGCGCCCTGTGTCCCAGCCACTCCAGCCATAACTAAAAGGGGCCAAGGTACAGCTTGGTGCATGGCTTCAGAGGGTGGAAGCCCCAAGCCTTGGCAGCTTCCTGTGGTGTTCAGCCTGTGGGTGCACAGAAGTCAAGAATTGAGGTGTGGGAACCTCTGCCTAGATTTCAGATGTATGGAAACGCCTGGATGCAGGCAGAAGTTTGCTGCAGGGACGGGGTTCTCATGGAGAACCTCTGCTAGGGCGGTGCAGAAGGGAAATGTGGGGTCAGAGCCCCCACACAGAGTCCCTACTGGGGAGCCACCTAGTGGAGCTGTGAGATGAGGGCCACCATCCTCCAGACCCCAGAATGGTAGATCCACTGACAGCTTGCACAGTGAGCCTGGAAAAGCTGCAGACACTCAATGCCAGCCTGTGAAAGCAGCCGAGAGAGGTTGTACCCTGCAAAGCCACAGGAGCAGAGCTGCCCAAGACCATGGAAACCCACCTCTTGTATCAGTGTGACCTGTATGTGAGACATGGAGTCAAAGGAGATCATTTTGGAGCTTTAAGATTTTACTGCCCTGCTGGATTTTGGACTTGCATGGGGCCTGTAGCTCCTTTGTTTTGGCCAATTTCTCCCATTTGGAATGGCTGCATTTATCCAATGCCTGTACCCCCCAGTGTATCTAGGAGGTAACTAACTTGCTTTTGATTTTACAGGCTCATAGATGGAAGGGACTTGCCTTGTCTCGGATGAGACTTTGGACTGTGGACTTTTGAGTTAATGCTGAAATGAGATAAGACTTTGGGGGACTGTTGGGAAGGCAGGATTGGTTTTGAAATGTGAGGACATGGGATTTGGGAGGGGCCAGGGGTGGAATAATATGTTTTGTGTCCCCACCCAAATCTCATCTTGTAGCTCCCATTATTCCCATGGGTTGTGGGAGGGACCCAACAGGAGATAACTGAATCATGGGGGTGGGTCTTTCCTGTGCTGGTCTTATGATAGTGAATAAGTCTCACAACATCTGACTGTTTTAAAAATGGGAGTTTCCCTCCACAAGCTCTCTCTCTTTGCCTGAGGCCATCCATGTAAGACATGACTTGCTCCTCCTCGCCTTCTGCCATGACTGTGAGGCCTCCCCAGCCATGTGGCACTGTAAGTCCATTAAACCTCTTTTTCTTCCCAGTCTCAGGTATGTCTTTTTTTTTGAGATGGAGTCTTGCTCAGTCGCCCAGGCTGGAGTGCAGTGGCACGATCTCGGCTCACTGCCAGCTCCGCCTCCCGGGTTCACACCATTCTCCTGCCTCAGCCTCCTGAATAGCTGGGACTACAGGCACCTGCCACCATGCCAGGCTAATTTTTTTTTTTTTGTATTTTTAGTAGAGACAGGGTTTCACCATGTTAGCCAGGATGGTCTCGATCTCCTGACCTCATTATCCACCTGCCTTGGCCTCCTAAAGTGCTGGGATTACAGGTGTGAGCCACCGCGCCCGGCCTTATGTATGTCTTTATCAGCAGTGTGAAAGCAGACTAATACACGCTCACGTGCAAAATGTTCCAAAGTTTTTTCTTCAAGATGCAAACGTAAAAGAGTCATATTGAAGAGTTGCTTTGTAATAAGTGCCCTCTGTGTTGAATTCTTGCTGTCTAATCCAAAATCAACACACATTTGAGCTTGTCATCATGGTAAGCCATGTCACTTCCTAAATATTACAGCTTTCCCTGAATATAGTTTCCTCTCTTTCCATCTCTTTCATGATATAATGTCTAGTCTTTGATCTTATTAAGAACCAGCTCCCTCCTGAATTCATTTCCTTATCCAATTTGGACCCCTCTGACTAGACCCCTCAATTCCCTCTTGGATATGTATTACATGTACTTGTTCCAATATGTGCTTTCTTACTCCTGCCTGGCCACTGGGCATTGCTAGAAAAAACTGTATATGCACACTGATTGTCACCATTCTAAATTTGTGTTTTCTGACTTCAGGCCATTCAGGGCTACTTGGCAGACCTCTTATTAGTGCCTGGTTAGCCCAATATCCAATTCTTCATTAGGAGAGCTCCAAGTTTCCATTTTACTCTTCAAGACCTACTTTCTATCTGTTAGATCTTCCTCTGAGAAGGTAACATTTTGCCTCCACATTTGTCAAGGGAGGGTATCATATCTCTCATCTGGATTGTTGAATTAGTTTTCTAATTGGTATCCCTATCACCTGTATTCTCCCACATTAATACATCTATATTGGCCAGAGTGACCTACCGAAGCTCTCTATCATGTTCTTTGTGATACAATCCAAACTTCTAAACATGGTATGTTAGGACCTTTTTAATTCATTTCTAACATAAATCTTTGTCTCATCTGTACTCATCTACACTAAATACCATATTTCTCTAAATTATTCTTTGTTTTTCTTCCTGTCTACCTTTGCTGATGCCATTTTTTTTTTTTTTTTTTTTTTTACCACCTAGAATGTACCCTCCTTTTCTTTTTCTCCTGGTGAAACCTTATTCATCCAGCTTGAATGTCACATCCTCTGTGAGGTCTTGTCTGATTTCACAAGGTAGAGATAATCAAGACCTCTTAAGTGCTTTCATAGAACTTAATGTGTTCATTTCTCAAAACATCTAATATACTGTACAGTTACATTTGTATGTTTTTCTCTCCCATTAAATGATGAATTTATTGATTCTGTAATTTTAAAATCTTTGTTTCTTCCAGCACTTAGCAGAGTGGGTACTCAGGACACTGTGTTGCCTCCATAAATATTATTTGAATTAATTAAATTGCCCAAATACATCTTAATTCAAAATCTCAGTATTTGCGGGTACAAGCTGAACACTGAATAGACTTCTATTAAACAACTATGTAAAATGCTTTATACCTCACTAGGTTTTCAATTGAAGTGAGAAGATCTACTTAAAGTTTTTGGGGTGAACTATGTAGCAGAGGGGGAAATCTTAGGAAGATAAGTCACTGAGGTCAAAGAATGCTATTTCTAGCACTGCTTGCTATGTCAAGGAAAAATGATTTTGGCCTTATATGAAATGATAGTGTAACCACTGCTAAAGGGTGTTTTCTTTGAATGACCTACATTGTCAAGATATTCATATGTCATTAATGTTAGGAGTAGATGAGGTAAGACAAAATCTTAGACTCAGGATGAGATTTTAATTATAAATATAACTTAAAAATATACTCTCTAAAGGTCCTTCTCTGTTGATAGAAGCAGATTGATGGAACTACTATAAAAAACCTCACCACCCTGCTACTTTGGGGAAATGTTGGAAGGGGTTGCAGCCAAATTGCTTGATACAGCTTTATTGCTATGTGTAAAACTTTGTCCTTTAAACAGATTTTGAATGGCTAGGTTTCTGTACCACATGGATCAGGCAAAATAAATATGATTGTGACATAACCATTAGTTACTGTTTTAACATTTTAAAATGCCATGTTACATGTATTATATGTTCATTTCCATCAAATATTGAAAATTTAACAGAAAAAGAGTCACCAAATTTTACCCAAATAGTTGAATTATTTTATTTTTACTTTTAGAATACGATGTGCATTTATTTTAATAATCTTTTTTTGAAAACTGAGTCAGTTTAAATTCTAAAAAAGCATTCTCTAAAAATATCTGATGCCTTATAATATTAGTGGGTAAATTAAATGGCTTTTCTAAAAAGTCAGTCATTTCATTAGAGACAATGAAAAAATAAGAATTAGTATTCTACCTTACTCAGTCAAGCCTCATGGCTTCTATCATTTAATTGGGTTACAACCACCTGAATTATGAGCTATTGGGGGATAATATAGAAATATGTCAGATATTGTCAATTTAAGATAATCTCTGATTTTAGAAACTGTGCAATGAATAGAATAAAAGTTTGGTTAGGCAGATAAATTAATACATCATAATTCTACCTTTTGGAACAATCATGATAGAAAACTTAGGGGTGGGCAGATGCAGTGGCTCATGCCTGTAATCCTAACACTTTGGGAGGATCACTTGAGGTCAGGAGTTCGAAACCAGCTTGGCCAACATGGTGAAACCCCATCTCTACCAAAAACACAGAAATTAGCCGGAAATTGCTTGAACCCGGGAGGTGAAGGTTGCAGTGAGCTGTGATCGCGCCACCGCACTCCAACCTGGGCAACAGAGTGAGACTCCGTCTCAAAAAAAAACAAAAAAACAAAAAAACAAACTTAGAGGTAGCCTATTTCTTTTTATATTAGAGAAAAATAGCAGTTTGTGCCCATTCTTTATCCACAGGAATTATGATTTTGTAGGCAAAATTCTCATCATTTTAAACACTACACTCAATTGCAAGTACAATAAATGGTTCTTGAGATTTTAGGCATTGTTCAGATATATGATCAGTCCAGTTTATGATTGCTGTTATTATTCACCTTTGGGATGATAGCCACACCCTGCTTAGTGGACTTTTGCTGACTGTCAAGTAAAACAAACTAAATTATGTCTTTTTCCTTTGTTTTCTTTCTTTCTTTAAAATTTAAGGCACAAAGTAAAATAGAATATCTCTGCATTTTGTGAAAATAGTTTATCAACTGATTTAGGGCTCCTGATTAATATCAATCATCTCAATATACCAAAAAGGTAGTTCTAAATATCAGTAATGCATAGGATTTCCATACACATTTTAGAAATTGAAGCTTGATTTTATGCCACCAGTGGAAATATTATTGATGTTTAAACAGTGAATCATTTGTGTAATTTGGCTGTCTCAAACTCTAAAACCATGAAAGTAATTTTTAAATTCACTGCTCCATATAATGGAGGACATGCTAAATTTTGGCTGGAATTGTAAAAAAGTTATTCAATTTTTAAAAAAATTATCCATATTATAATTAATTAGAAACCAATTTTTGGACACCTATGCCTTTCTTCTTCTGACAATATGCAGTATTTTGTAAGGTATAAATCCGTGAATGAGTTTTATTTAATACTTATTTAGTTTGGGTTCCATGACAATGAAGTACCTATTATATGTTTTGTTTAATACGTATAAGCTCAGTGAATTACAGGCAAATAAATTTTGAAGGGCTAAATCAAGTTTGTTTATTTTTACAATCAGCTATGTTAATTATTCAGTTGGGAGAGGTATATCACTGGCTATGTGTGAAAATATCAAGGAGCATCAACAATGTGGTGCAACACCACTCTTCATTAAACCATACATCCTGAAATGTTACTATGTATTTTCTAAAAATATAATGGAAGAGATTACCTTCAACAAACATACTTTTCTTTTACAGACAGGCAGCAAGTATCTTGCACTAGATAGATTACAGCAAGATAATCTAATAAACAAATACTCAAATATCACCCCAATTTCTATAAGCTCTTTAGAGCAGAAATTGGTAGTACAGTTTTATACTACCAAGTCATTATTACTTTAGGTAAAAGGGCTTAAAATGAAGAAGTCTGAATGCAACTTGTTTCTGTAATTTGAAGCTATTATTTATAAAGAATGTAAACTGGGGCATAGTATAGAAATGATAATTCTTAGGAGCCACTGAATACAGTTGACTAAAGAATATGGCTGATCAGGGTTAGGACTTGGATCTAACAAAAACAAACTATTAGAAATCTATGGTACTCTTATTTTCTTACTCTTACTAGATCTGTAAAAGTCCAACCAGGTCTGTAGGGTTCCAATACTCTATACAAACATATTCTGGTATTGACTGAGGCATGCAAGAACACAGGCTTAAAAATATTGTAAATTGTCCTAATGAAGTCACCTAATTTTTATAGTGTCATGTTTCCTATTATTTGTAGGCTAAAAGTTGAATCAATTTCTATAAAATCTTCTGAAGATGAAAAAATATAAAATAATATAACCTGAACTTCAATATTTTCTGGTCAAGCCATCAATATACTAATTATAGGATTTAATGCATTGAAAATGAGATCAATACATGTAAGTAATTACTGCATGCATTTAAACCCTGATGGTTTCATGTTTCAGAAATACAAAGAAATATTTGGAATCTATTTGGGATCTAATGCTGAACAACAGGGAAGAACTTTTATGGCACAAAGAGAACTAAAAGAAACACATTATGTAATTTTGCTTTTGTTTTTTCTTCTAGTGGTGAGGAGAAAGAACACATAGCTGGATATGGACCTTAGATTATTAAAGATATGATTTTAAAACTTTACAAAGACAAATGGAAAGTTTTAATGATCAGTACTTTTAAAAAATTAAATTCCAGTAATACAAACGTAAACTGTCCCAATGAGGGAGGGAAAGGAGATGCAGATGAAGTCAAGGTAGTTACAAGGAACTTCTTTAGAACAAGCCTTAGTTTAAGGAGGATTTCTATAAAATATAGAATAAGAGGCTACGAGAAATGAACAAGTAGAAAATAATACCAATTGTTTGTAAGAAGAGCTCCACAAAGGCAAATGTTCAGCTGAAGCTTATGAAAAAACTGAAGATACAAAGCTTTTGTAAAGAAAAATTAAGAAAATATCAATGATAAAAAGTAGAACTATAATGCCTTCAATGACAATTTAGGCTTTTCCTGCAAGAGAAAAAGTCTTCAAACTAGGGCATTAAAACATAAATGCTTCTGGAGACAAGGGACTACTAAGAACCACTCTGTGGTTCCTTTAAACTAGAAGGTTATAATCTTAGCAAGTGAATAAACTTTTTGGAAATTATCTTAGGGCTACTGTCAGCATTCCATAAGACTTAATGCTTAAATCTTAAGAGCCCTCTTATCCAAACAAACAAAGCATGAGTTCTCCAATGAACATATTGATAAACCTGATATAAATATAAATTTGTAAAAATAGATGATGAGTGGGTGGCGTTTTGTTTTTTAATTTCGTTTGACAAACCAATATGAATTTAATAAAAAAATGAAGCATTTTAAAATGACTTCTTTTGGGGACAGTATCTCTAAGTTGGAAGGGAAGAGGAAAACCCTGGGCAGTGTGTCTTACATAAGATGAAATTTTACCTGATACCCTATGAATAAAGATACTGTAATATGGGCTGAATGACATTACTATTAGGTGGATCTATATAAAGACTTTGAATGACTGAATAAAATTAACACAAAAAGTTTAAAATTTAATGCTGTAAATCTCTGTCCTTGGTCTTTTCTTCCTTAAAATGTTTTCTTAAAAAATGTACTTTCCTTGATGAATCAGTTAAAAACACAGAAAGGGTGCTTAGAATTTTGGAGGATTATTAAATGATAAGAGAAATGAGTAATATCATACATGATAAAACTGAGATTCTAAACTTTGTAACAGAGTCAAATACTTTGGGTGAAACATGAGACATTAAAAATTTAACAGAAATAAATATAAATAGCTGCACTTAGATTAAAAAATAAAGTAAGTGGAATGCTTATCACTTGATAACATTAAAGCATTATATGAGCCAACAGTGAGCAGGTTAAAACTAATGTAATCATGTTAACAAAAGTATAGTGTCTAGATCACTGTAATAGTTCCAATACACTTAGCATGGGGACTCTATAAAGAAACAAGGAGTCCAGATGAGGGTAGCCAGGATGATGAGTTATCTAGAACTCATGTGTCACAGGCATAAAGACACCTCAAGAAGAGACAACACAAATTATGTTTGATAACACAATTCCATTTTAGAGTTTTGGAGATATATACAATGTGCAAGGCATATGGTGAGAGCAAAGGGCAAGACCATTATGCTGAAGAGAACTATAAAACTTTAGAATTGGAAGAAACCATCAGGTTGAACTTTCCAGCTAACTTGGGAATTCCTGGCTGGTAGCTGGTTATTCAGCCTCTTCCTAAACACTTCGAGTAATGAGGAGCCCACTAAACTCGTAAGTTATAAACCTGCAAAAACTGGATTTTTTTTCCATATCAATCTAAAATCAGCCTCCTTGTGCCCTTTATCTACTATGTTCTCTGGAACTTCAAAGACTATCTTGTCCATCTTTCCACATGATAGGCTTTCAAATGCTTGCTCTGCATTTTTCTAATTTGCAATTTTAAGATCCACAATGAGTAGAAAGTTTGGCAGAAATTTGTTTTTGTATCAATACAAGGAAGAACTCTGTAAGTAAGGCTCTTCAACATGAAATGCCTGCTTTTGGAGGCGGGAGTTCCGAGTCTTTAAAATATTCAAGCAGAGGCTCAATAACAATTTTTAAAATATGCAAAAGTTTCTCTTTTGGGTAGAAAGTGAAGATAAGTGCCTCAAAACTCTAAGTTCTATGGTGAGAGGGCTATATGCATATTTACATACAGCATGACTCATTTTCCATGCCAAGCCCAGTTAAAAACAATTCATCTCTTAAATGAACCCTTTTTCTTAACATAAAACATTTTAAAATAGGTACTGTACTATTTGCCAGAGAGATACCACTGACACATTAAAAAAAGATGCTTACAAATTTAAGCATCTTTAATAGTAAATCAGTGATTTACCATTTGCCAGAGAGATACCACTGACACATTAAAAAAAGATGCTTAAAAATTTAAAGAAGCATTCAGTTAAGGCACCTTTTCAGTTACTTATTCAGCAAAGCTATTCAGTATTTCTACGGAATTACTTTTGTAATGATAAACATCTTGCCTACCTCTAGTGCTGAGGCAAAATCCTTTTAATTAAGTCAATAAAAGCACATCATGAATCTAAGAACCCAAGATGCTAAATAAAGAGAAGGCAGCCCAGCAACTACATAGGATTTTAAAAAGATAACAGAATTCAAAGTGAGGGGTGGGGCTTATTGTCAGATTTTGCTTATGTATTATATTAAAGCCACACTGATTCCAGCTGTCCCTCCTCCCCGTGTGTTTTCTTTTCTTTTCTTTTTTTAAGAAAAGGCATGTGAACCCATGTGTGTTGGCATTGCTAAAGAACAGGAGAAAACATTAGAGATGATAGGAAAAAAATGTGTACAGTTTAAGTTTAGTGACATCAAAGTTATGGGCTATTTTCTCTCACCAAGAATCTCAAGGTGTATGCTTTACAGTGTCCATTTCGTAAGTTACAGAATAAACTAAATTCAGTCATGGAGCAGTGGAGGGGCCACAACAACAAAAATTAAAAAAAAATTATAACGAAAATAGCCAATAAAGTCATAGATGAGAAAATTCGGAGGTCTTAAGTGAATAGATCTTAGGCATTAAGTAAATACATTCTACGGATGATTTATCAAAAGAGAAATAGTGCAGTAAAAGTAACAGATTCAAAATCATGGAAGATTAGGGATTTCAAATGTGGAAGGAAATGAAAAACTATTTAAAATTTTAAGGTTCAAATTTCCCTAAAATAGACATTCAAAATACAATTTTCTGTATTTAATGCTCTGCTAATATTCCCTATATTAATAGGCTTTTCCAATAATAAAATTCTACAATGATTATAGTGTAACATTAAGAAGTGCCTTCTCAATTATAAAAAGAAACATTAATCTATGGTCAGTATAATATGAAGTTCAGTTCATTGATTTTTAGACATCTGATTTGTGTTAATCAGTACAACTGGGTAACCAGAATGCATATTCCTCAACCATGATGTTTAAGGAATAAGCTGAATCAGAAATAGCTCTTTAAGTGATCTCATCTGATTTTAACTAGTCTTATAAATTTTGCATAAGTGATAAGTAATTAACATAAAAATAAAATATCTTGCACCATCTCTCAATGAATAATTTTTATAAAATTATAAACTGGTTACTAGGGAAAATTACTGGTATAAGGTAACAAAGATGTTGCATATTTGGAATTACTCTCTGTGTTTCATGTTATCAGAAAGAAAAAATCTCATTTATTAAAAATAATTTACACATTTCTGTTGTAAGTAGACTTATGGAAGAGCTAGACAGGCTCTTAACATGGTACCCTGTGTGTAGAAAAATAAACAAATGCATGTTGAATGCATGAATGCATGTTTGGAATTAACTGAATTATATATTGATACAGCAAACCATATGTACGATACAGAGACTTAGTTTGCATTTTAGCTGGCTAAATCTAGATATTGAAATGTCAGAAAATCTAAGAGTAAGAATGTTAAAGAGTTTGTGGCTCTAAAAGCTCTGAAGTCAATCAGTGATTTACACAACTATAACTCTTATTTTCAAGTATTCCAAAAATGTCTGTGAAATAACCCAGAAAGTTGATTTTATTGGCATATTTTGTGTTTGTAATAAAAACAAAAATATACAAAATTGTCATTCTTGAGACAAGAAGCTGCTCTAAGTTTTCAAGTATGAGGTTTAACTATTAATTTTTTAAGATCAAATTTTCCACTTAAAAATATAATAATGGGCACTTTTTCCTTATTGAATGACATAGTAGTGGGAATATTTTCCCATTAAAGGACAAATTTTAGAGTGTAATAGATTATGTTATTAAGACCAAATATTAGGCCAAGATGTACCTACGGCACGGCATAAGAAAGTCTGAGTGGCTAGTAGTATGAAACTAGTGAGAACACTGGAAATAGGAGAGATTGTTTAGTAGAAAGTTCAGTGTTTTATAACTTGAAGCTAAAATCCGTAGGTAAACTGGTCACCAGACTCAGTGGCTATGAAGCCCATATCCAAGTTCTGCTTTCTGCCTTTTGAAGGCTGGACTTGCTAATTTTTTTTCTAATTGGCTCTGGCTTGGCTCTTTCATCACAGAGCTTTGGTATAAACTGAAAGTACTGGAAGATCTTCATAAAGAAAGCTCAGCAAAATCCATAAGGCATCAAGGCATTAGGCAAGTAGGCAAGAGAACTTCTGATGTATGAGTCGGGGTGTGTGTGTGGGGGGGTGTGTTTGTGGGGGGGGCAGTGTATGAGTGAGTGTGCATATACAGCCAATGCCATTTCTTTCTTCTCATATTTCTCCTATTGTTTTTGAAAAGGTCAACTGCTACATTTTCTAGAGTAATAAATTTTGGGATTGGGCTGGATTCTAAGGTGCTACGTAAGTTATTTCACAGGACTGTTGCTTACATTATAAACTAACGCCATATCAAAAAAGTTTTAGAGGAACTCTAACTGATAATCAACTAAACCATCCTTCATATCCCTAACTCACACTGAGTTACAAGATAGAGATATATAAGGAAAATAAATTCATGCCAGAATTGATTTTTAAAACCTTAACTTTCGACAGTAGTTAACTTTGGAGAGTAAAGAAAAGAGAAGGTGGCTTTGCACTTTCATCACTGTACTTTTTATTTATTTTGCAATAAGCAAGTTATTACTTTTGAATTACACAACAAAAATAGGGTAATTAAAAAATCTCCAAGATATTTTTATGGTGCAATCATATTAAATCATAATCTACCATCTTCTGGTAGTTGGTAACCAACCATAGGAGGTAAATTGTTTATGCTGAGGGACAAAAATGAGGCATTTGTGACCTTCGGCCTTCTCTGGCAAGGGTGAGCAAGGTAAAAAGAGAATGATAGGTTTTTATACAATAAGCTAGAAGGTACTCCATGGAGAAATGAATAATATGCTATTATTGAGCTGAAGAGAAGTGATTTGCTTTTTTTTGATGTGTGAAAATAATAGCAGATAACAGTGTGGCTGAATCTAATAATCTCTCTCAGTAAAAAAAAATAACATAACATAAATCATAACTTGCCTTACCTATGCTAGTGAGGGGTTGACATTGTTTTGTGTGAGCATTAGCTCTCTTCTGGCCACATCTTCTGCTGTTGTGACTTGACAGCATTTAGAATTCCTTCTTTTGCCATTTACATCTGATGTCATTACTTACTAACACTTTTGAGATTATTTTCCTGGCTGATGCAGGGCTACTGGTTATTTGCCAAAGTACAAGTTGCAGTTTCAACACTTTTTACAAACTAATTAAGATGAAGCTAGGTAATGGACGACTAGGAGTGTTAACCAAGCACTGGCAGTGATTTGAGTTTTCCTTCCTTCTACAGGCAGTGGATTTTGGTGGGAAGAACAACTGCCTAAGAGAGCTGGAAGATCTGGTTTCTAACTGATTTATGACAATGAACTAGTTATTTCAGATGTCATATTTTTGTGGCCTTCATTTTTGAAATGGCAGTGAAACAGGAGGAAATGGTTTCAATCATAGAGAATGTGACCATAAAACAGCCATAATGTGAGGAGCAGTAATTCTAGTTATCAGCATCCCAGCTTTGTGGTCTCCAGCATAAAGAGGGTATGCTGAACACATGTAGTCCTGGCTTTTCCTTGACAAAATACCAAAAATGAGGAATTCTGCGATGTTTTGATTTGTTTTATGTCATATGTTGGATAAAATAACTTTAGCTCTATAAATAATAAAATTGAAAGGAAGTTAGTAACAAAAGGGGTTAGCTATTACTCATTCATTCACTCATTCATTCTTTCAATAGTGCCTGGGCTACTATGGGCCATATACTGTTTTAGGTGCTATAAGACAGGAATAAAATCCCTGCTCTTAAGAAGCTTAAATTCTGGTAGTAGGGATGGAAAATAAATCTGTGAACAATATTTAATATTATACTCCTAGTGATAAAGCTGGGAAAAATATAAAACAGGGTAACCATACAAGAGGATGAATGGTGGTGGTGGGCATCTGGGTCAGACTGGGTTGTCAGGAAAGGATCTCTGAGGGGAAAATATTTGAAATGAGACCCAAATGACAAGATCTATAAATAAACATTTCAGTAAATATATCTGATACAATTATTGCTATTTGGAATGCAAGGTTTCTTTTGAGTTCCCAAATGTCCAAAGTCAAAAAGGAAAGGAGTAGTGAGTGATAGGAATGTGAAATGAGGAACATTTCTATTTTACTCCTAGAACGCAGCTAATATGTTAGGTTGAAACACACAAAATTGCTAATGTTTCATCATTTTGACCTACAAAAGCAACATTTCGTATGGTTCAACTCAATGGCTAGAACTGAACAAAGATAGGACATGTAGTAAACATTACTTAATGAGGTTTGCCAGGCCTAATTCACTATTTAAGTATTGTAATTGCCCGCTTTGCCTTAATACAAATCTACATAAAATCTATATAATTATATCAATCTATAAATGAAACAAATATAAAACCTATATAATTATATAAAATCTATATAACATTTACTGGACAGACTTATAATGTGTCACATATGGATCTAAGGTGCTTTCTGACATCACTTCATTGAATACTCACACAACCTCAAAAGCTAGGTATTATTACCATATGATTTGACAATGAAGACATTGAGGTCTAGAGGTGTTAAATAACTTGATCAATCATACCAGTTGTAAGTGGGACAGTGACAAAGCAAGGATTTGAACTGAGGAATATCTCCAGAGACTGTATTCTAAGCTAGGATTACTTATTGTCTATAGGAAAACATGCTTATTCATTCCATGAGCAACAATAATTATATCAAACTTGCTACATTTTCAGGGTTACATAATACTTATTACTTCATTTATATATCTAACATTTCAATAGAGCCAAAATTTTTAAGTAAGGTGATGTGATCTGGGCTATGCATGTGCATATATATATTTAAAAAGTGAAACACTGCTTGAACAAATATAATTTGAAGACAAAACATACACAGTAATAGAGCTGCTCATGCAGAAAGTAATGATAAGCAGTTTTGCACATTTCTCTTTCTCATCACCATAAAAACAAATCAAGGTTAGTCTAAACTGTTCATATCATTCCATTTCCCTTGTCATTTGTTTAGGCATGCACATGTGATGCAACCTTGGCAATGAAATCTGGGTATAAGTCTGCTGGAAGGATCCATGGAAAGTTTCCCTTGGTCTTATAGAAAGGACTAAAGATAGGGCCTGGTCTTTGGCTTTTTGAATGCTGTCTCATGAGAAATGATGCTTGGAGCTCTTGCATTACAGAAAAATGAATGGAGAGTCCTGACATTGGTAAGCCATGAAATTCACCCCAGAACAACCCCACCTCTGAACTTCCTGTAAGTTAATAACTTTCTCTCATTTTTTTAGCCAAAAAATGGAGGTGTAATTAAAAATCTAACCTATAACCAGTATCAGAATTATAGCTAATCTTCAGTGTTTTATGTCTCCCTAACAGTATTTCTTCAAAATCAGACAATATATTAAAATAATTTTCTCACTACTTTCTAGGTTTTTCTGTTTTTTTTAAATACATATTTGTTATATAATCAGCCAAGGATGGTGTGCTCAACTTTACAAAAGTGATATAGTTAAGGTTCTCTGCCATTTTTTCTTTGACTTTATCATGTCTTTTTCTTCACACTGTGTATATCCTTCTCCATCTACTCCCTTTAGACATGAACTATAACTTAAGATATTAATGATGATTATGCTCTTTAAAATTATTTGTGTGTGTATATAATTTATCTTGATAATAAAAAAGTGAGAAGTGTTGCAACATTTTTATTTTCAACTTGTTCCTTTTCTTCCTTCAATACAATTTCATATTCTGGGAATACCTTCTCCTTGTCTACATATCTCCTACTTTAATGTTCTTAAAAATAGAATTCATGACCTTTAGAAAATCTTCAGGAAATGAAGATAGGACCCTTAAAATGATTGACAAGAATTAATGTATCTTCTGCTCTGTATTTGTACTCATAATCTAGCCCCTATGCCCTAATAATTTAAGATTTTAGGCTACTGAGTGGCATATTCTACACAGCTCCTAAGTTATTAATAGTGTACAAAGAATGTTAGATTTTTTACTTATTTATTTATTTATTTTGTTTATTTATAGAGCAGGTTATAAGACCGGCTAATTTTTTTTCTTTCTTTCTTTTTTTTTTTTTTGGAGACAGAGTCTTGCTCTGTCATCCAGGCTGGAGTGCAGTGGCATGATCTTGGCTCACTGCAACCTCCACCTCCCGGGTTCAAGCAATTCTCCCGTCTCAGCCACCTAGTAGCTGGGATTACAGGTATGTGCCACCACGCCTGGCTAATTTTTGTATTTTTCGTAGAGACAGGGTTTTGCCATGTTGGCCAGGCTGGTTTCAAATTCCTGACCTCAAGTGATCCTCCGCCTTGGCCTCCCAAAGTGCTGGGATTACAGGCGTGAGCCACAAAACTCAGTCTAGATTTTTAAAAATAACCTTAAAATATATTTCTCAGCAGATCTCATTTTGAAAGTGTCAATAATATTTCAGCCTGATAATCTAATGTGTACAGTGGCTCCAAGGTAATAGATTTTATTCCCCCTTAAAAGACCTAGGTTTTGCTTTAGATTTCTAAGCCCAAGCTACATATACGTGTAAATTAAGTGAGAATACTGGTAGGTAATCTTCAAGACAATGATAAAGGACATCATGACTTCACCGAGTAAATGAAGGCATCAAGAGTCCAGGAGAGTTCCCTTATAATTGCTTAGGGGAAAATCAGCAGGATTAAGGGATAATGGTTTTCAAAACCTCATCTGAATTGGCTAGTACATACGGCAAAGGAAAGCGAGATTTTCTAAGCTGACTTCAAGCTGTATTAACCAAAATAGTATTTTAATGTTATGGCAGATTATTTCTGAATGAAATATATCTTCATATTTTGTCCCATACTTTCATAATTTATATTCCTTTAAAGGTGCATAGAATGACATAATTTGTAAGTTAATTTAGCTGATGTCTTATAATGTCCATACCAGGTAAGGTTTGAAACTGCTAATTGGGATAACAGGAAATTACTTGTCTTTTCTCAAATGTCAGTGAAGCAGGTCAAGACAATTAATATGCAAGCTGACTTTTCAGTCAAAGGAAAACAAGACAGGTCTCATTTGTGTACTTTTAGTACCATCCATTTCAGACTAAAATGAGTTCAGCCTAAGAAAATCACAGTATGACTCAGTTAAATAATTGAATTTCAAAATAAGGCAAAAGGTAGTTCAACTACGAGAACACAGATTGAAGTCTGTTCTAAGGAAGGCTAAATATATACTTTATAAGCAGGGCCAAATTCCATACCCATAAGGAAAATGAAAAACAGCTAAGGCATGGATTTAGGTATATCTTGCTTCTTAGATTGCTCTGTAAGCTCATAAGCACTATATAACATATATTGTGATATAAGGTAAGATAAAACGTAAATGATAAGAAAGAGGTTTGGTTGATGACATAATTCTTCACCCTTAAAGCATATGACAGACTATATTTTCATGTTTTCTTCCATTATTTCTTTTGGCCACCTGATACTTCCTATTTTTAATTTCTTGGCAAACTGAGAAAAACGTTTGGAACTAGACATTAAACTTATTTCCTCTGCAGTTCTGTACTTGATGACTACAATTCACTTCAGGAGGTCAAACTGAATGCTGGCCTGGAGCAGGACAGTAAGTAACACACTGCTGTTGGACTTTGATTTTTAAAAGCACAGGTTGCCTGCTGAACTGTGTGGCAGCACAGTAAGCGCTCTGTGTTGGAGGACATGTACAGGACGTTAAGGCTGATGTAATGGCCACAGCTTCGTTTCCGTGTATAATTTTTGCTCTGCTGACATAACACCAGACAGCTTGATTTGAACAAGCAGCCTGAGTACTTACTCCTAATGGTCAATCCAGGGAAGCCATGAACATGACATCCCATAACTAGACCTTAAAGATTCTTTTGAAAACACTGGTTTTTAAAGCTGATGTTTCCTGAATAAGGTGTTCATCAAATTGCCCACTCCTAAATATTAGAAATAGCAATGCAGAAAACCATCATTAGAACAAACATACATTTCATTGAATAATAAGCATCTTCCAGGAAAGGATGAATGCACTACTCTGTTACGAACAGTTTGAAGTACACGGAGAAATCAAGTGGCAAGATTTATGGAAAAAATACCCAGAAAGAAATGGGGCCTGAAAGACAGTGCAAGGCCACTTTCAGTGAAGCAGATCTGACTGAAATAGCACGAAACATCCCACAATATTGAACCATAAAGACAAAAAGTACAATACCAAATTTACTGACACACTTACTAGGTCTGTTCTATCTTATAACAATTATTCTACAGAGAGCCCACTGAAAAAGATGGAAAGCACTGAATAACTACCCACTAAACTCATCTGAAATGTAAAGAAAAAACCCAACCAACTTAGGAGTGCATCTATTTGGCTAAAAAATCCAATCCACTAAACAACAAAAAAGATAATCTAGAAGAAAAAAATTGAAAGCTATCTAACTAGAAGTGCTCTGTGGACTACTGGAAACCTGAAGAATGAGCAAGCATGGTGCCATATTTTCCCTTCATGTCTTAGGACACGCTTGCTTCTTTCTACTCTTCCCTTATTCAATGACCAGGATGAACTGTTAAGTGCCTAGCTTATTCAAAACAAGACAACATTAGTGACTTAACCTGTAGGAATGATGAAATGTTTTCTGAACAGAATTCTCTATTTCAGAGGGCTGTGCCTAATTTCAACACAGTTTATCTTAAAATGGCTGAGATAAAGTGTTTTCTCCAATGTTTGTAAAAGAATAAACCTCACATACTTAGTCACAGCAGTTGTGTAGTACCTGAATGACAGTTGAAATGAAGTTTCTAACTCATCTTTAAATTTTAGAAGACAATTTATTAATTTTAGTAATCTTTAGAATATTAAACATTATTATTATGCTTGCCAGAATTCCTGCAGAGGACTAACATGGCTCCTAAATATTTCTTCCATAAACTCTGATAGATGTGAATGTTGAAAGGGCTTGGCAAGTAATGAATGGTAATTACTTTTCCTGTACTAACAACGTACCTTTTATAATGTTTCTCATGGAGATTATGGCTAAAATATACTTCACATGGAAACTGCCACAGCATATGAATTTTATTACAAGCAATTCTTATATTTTGTTGGTAGATGAGATAATATTAAATAATGCAATGAAGATCCACACCATAAAGGGAGGTCCACTGTATTTTCTTGTCAGTCATTTCCAAAGAGACTACCATTTTAAATGAGCCAAGCTTGACACTGACATGGGGCTCTTGACCTGTTGGTAATCTGTGAACTTTGAGATATTTTTCCATTTGTGATGAAGAACTTACACTAATATATTCTGTAATCAAAGTCCCATATATTTGTAAAATGGGCTGAAGGCTACACTCTGCTTTCATCTTTTTAAAAAGAGAAGTCTATTGCCCTAGGGGTACCAAACAAGTAACTGTGATTTCATCACCATTTGCTCAAGTTATCTGCGCTAATTGGCCCAGACTGCATTTTGAATAAAGAGATGTGAACAGTTTTATACTATTTCTTCTATATATTTTGTTTTGTGCATTTTATGTTCAGGACTTGTAGCCAAACCTAGATTTTCTTTCTTACTAAAATAACTGAGTTACAGCCTTTCCCTTAAACCAGCCTGGGTTTCTGGACTGATGTGTCATGTTAGTAATAAACAGAGGCTTGGTATGGCATGTTGAATAAAGAACTTAATAACTAGTAAAGATATTCTTAATGTCAACAAGGCAGAGGATTACTTCATTGACTTTTCTTATAAGAGTTGATTCACATAAATTGAGCTTTACGATCAACACACATACCAAGAAATTAGATGGATGCTTTTGGAAAATTGGTTTCTAGAAACAAATTCAGCTATTTGGAGTTGAAAGAAATGCTATGTGAAATCTCTCCTTGGAAAAACTATCTTTTGGATTTTTCCTTTAAATCTTCTGACAATAAAAAGGGAAGATAAATATGTATATGTATAGATGTGAGTGGGTGTGTGTGTATACTCAGTTATTCAACCAAGGCTCTGCTAACAACCTGCTTGAAACATTTATAGTTTCTTAACCCAACTCAGGGGGCAACCACTGTGGGCCAGTGAGATGGTGCATGCAAGTGAGAATAAAGTGGATAAGAGAAGGAAGAAAACAAAAACACCATTAACCTTAAAAGGCAAATGGCTAGTTGGAGAAAAAAATTATTTGCTCCAGCTGTGGGTATCTTGAGATTATAAGCTTCATTACTCATCATGTTTTCCCAAGTTACTGAAGTTCTGAAAGTAGGTCACCAAGGGAGACCTAACTTACTATATAGCAATACTATTATTTTAAGAAAAAAGGGAAGCAAGGTTCTATTTTCTTCAAATAAGAAGTTTGAAAAGGTCAGGACTTTGTGTACACAGGCTAAGAATCTCCAGAAACATACTTACTTTTTTCTCCTATGTTTTCCCCTGCTGCCTCCCCTTCCTCCTCCTCCTCCTCCTCCTCTTCCTCCACCTCTGGGGGTTGCACGTCATCCTGTGGGTCACAGGCACTAACTGGAGCATTCAGACAGCAATGGTTGAACCCGCTATCTCGAGGCAGAGTAAAACTTCGAGGCTTGCCCCCATTTCCATTTAGCACTTGCATCCTCTCACTCTCAGCTAAGGGGTATGGCCCATAGTGATCCTGCAGGTGGCATTTCTGAGTTGGCAGGGTAGACTGCCGCCTGTGCTCTGGGGAGATGGCCGCGGAGTCAGAGAAGACAGAATCCTCCAGGGGCAGAGTCTGAAGATAGTGTAAGCCTGAACTTGTCAGTGGCGTCTCAATTAAATCCTGCCAGGAGCGGCGCTGACTGGCTGTCTTGCGAATGGGAGACACTGCACTGCTCCCAGTTACTTCCTGGCGAAACTCCTCATGAGAAGACTGAGACTGAGAAGTCTCCGTGGAGGAAAGTCGGCTATGTTTTGCTTCCACATAAGGACTGGCGCAACTCATCTGTAGAAAGGAGCCCCTGATTAGTCTGTGCCAAAATAACAGACCACTTCCATTCCAAGGAACACATTCGGTTTCTACCAGGTAATATTTAAGTAGATGAACTCTTACGTAGTCATGTTAATGACTAGGCAAGTTTGCAGACATCTCAAAGTTAGGCCCCAGCTTACATTTTAAGAGACAGAGACATGGATGTATTGGAATGCGGCTATACCAAGGTCTCATGAAAAATCTGACATATTAATGCAAAATTTTACAACAATGCAAGTATAAGAGTTAGTGCTTACATAAGAAAATTCAGCAACTACAAAAATTTCACTTTAAAAACTATACATTTTCAGATCCTGAAGAAGTATTGTCCCTGGATTCATATTCCTGATTTCATGTAGCTTGGGCTTGGGGACTAGGAGAGAGTCTTTTGGATATGAGGATAGGCTGCCTATAAACAGAAAGAACCCTTCCTTTTCTTCATAGGAGAATGTCTGCTCCTATGGGTGCCAGAGAAAAGCTGTCTGATGGTCTTACTTTCTATGGGGTTAAAAATGTTAGGCAGGATGAGACTATACATTGCTAGGGATTACCATTAGCCTTGAGCATAGATACTGCAGGGCACATAAATATAAAAGAAAAATGGAAAATTTTTATCCCTGGAATTTAAAGCTTGGGACTATATGTTATAGCACAAAACATAACCAGAAAAAGGACTGGCATCAAGTGAACACTGTGAAATAGTTGCAGGCACCTCTACTGCCACAAGCCTTACTCTAGCTCTGGGGACTAACAAACACACCGGCCCAGGTCGAGCCTGATTTGTTAAATGTGATCATCACAAACAGGGCTGAGGTGGCAGCCAGGACACACCGGACTGAGGTGAAGCTGCATACCACTCCTCCTGGTAAAGGAGGAGAAGTTACTTGGCATCCTCTGCGGGCAGTCAGTTACCTTCCCACATGTTAATAATAATATGAATAGTTTTCTTCTTGAAATTCACAAATTGCCATGTTTAAGTAGCTGTTCAGTGAAGATGCTGTTTCCTATTCTTCCTCTTTTATAGATATTTTAAAGAAATTGTCCAGATCCTGACGTTTTAGAAAAAGAGAGAAAATATGAATTATCCCCCTGGAGTAATACTGAGATGGAATTAGGTTAGCTATTGTTGTCACCTAAATCCAGCTTCTATTTCCTATGTGGAAGACTTAGTCCCAAGATAGGCAGAATTGTTTCTTATGGCAATGTGACCATGGAATATTATTATTATTATTATTATTTTGAGACACAGTCTCACTCTGTCGCCCAGGCTGGAGTGCAGTGGTGTGATCTTGGATCACTGCAACCTCCACCTCCCAAGTTCAAGCGATTCTTGTGCCTCAGCCTCCCGAGTAGCTGGGATTACAGGTGCCCACCACCATGCCTGGCTAATTTTTGTATTTTTAGTAGAGATGGGGTTTCACCATGTTGGCCAGGCTGCTTTCGAACTCCTGACCTCAAGTGATCCGCCCGCCTTGGCCTCCCAAAGTGCTGGGATTAGACGCGTGAGCTACCATGCCCGGCCTGACCATGGAATATTATTGTCTAAACTGGAACATTACTGAGACACTCTTGGTAATTCTGATGGGAAAGGGCCATAAAGTGGGACAGTCCCAAGTAAACCAGCTGTTTACCCTATTAAAAGATCAAAGTACAGTCTATACACAGAGTAATTTACAGAGATTTGTCTGACACACCATACAAACATATACATTAAACCAGGTCCCATGGCTGCTGAAAAAGCTACATGCAAAAATATCTTCAATATAGATATAATATTAATTTTTATGAGTTCATTCTAAAGGACATAGGAATACACTTTATTAGTGTGGAATAGATAAGGTCATTTTATATACCTTTTTCTAAGAAAACTTTTTTGTTGTTGTTGATTATCTCCACGAAGGCTACCTTCATACAAACAGTATATTTTGTTAATAAAAGTGATGACATATTTATTCTGCCTGGAATCTGTAATGACTGTTTTTCCTGCTTAAATATTCTTTGTATACTTAAAAAAATTTGCTTATTGATTTTAGACTCCCAGTTTTCTTTTCCGCTGAGAAACCTTAAATTTGATATGCAATCTACTACATATGTTTTTAACATACAAAAGGATGTTTCAGGTAGAAGAATCTGGTGATAAGTAATGTTCTTGTTGCTAACTTACCGAGGGAGGTCGTGGGTATGTATCATATGGGGGTGGAGGGCTATCTTGTTTTGGTGTTGATGGAGTATCTGCTTCTTCCTTGTCACTCTCACTCCAGTAATCTGAAAATTCACAGACATGGATACGTCAACATTCTACTAAATGTTTCTGGTCATATTTTCACGAACATAAACTATCATTTAAAAAAAGGAAATTTAAATTCTGTTCCAACATCATGTTCCCCAGCACTACCTTACCCTTGGCCTACCAACTTTTATTTTCAGTTGAGTTTTGAGGAGAAAGTAAGTGTACAATCACCTAATTCTAACATCCTTTTAAAGCAAGCAGTTACATGCAGCCATAATTTTAGAGAGTTAAAAAGAACGTACTGCATGAGCTCAGTCAGGTTTAGGGTACCTCAGATTTCAGACCCAATTATTCTGAAGCTTCAGTTAATGAATGACATCACATGATGCCTCTTAAAGGTATATCATTTTATCCTAAAGATATTCAAAGAAAAGCAATACATACATTGCTGTAGATCTCTACAGATATAAACAACTCTAAAAATAATGCTCTCAATTCTCTTCTCTGGCTTCAGTTCACTGATTATCTAACAATCACTGTTTCCAGACTCATGCTGACATGAATCTCTATAACACCATACTCCCACCTCTCCTTGGAAACACATGGCAAATTCTGATTCTTGCCAAATGCAAAAGGGCAAATCTGCTGATGTGGGCTGCAAGTTCCAAACTTCCAGAACTACTTAAAAGGGTAGCAAATGTAAGCAGCTAGACAAAGTGACTTGGCAGACCTCAGGCAAGAGGGAGGGGAAAGAACTCTGAGAGAGAAGTTCAAATTACTAGAGTAAGTCAAATGCAGCAAAAGGGCTAATAATCGGAATCTGTTCCAGTAATATTCCAACCACCCTGTAACTGCTGGTTTTATTCTTTATATGATTTACAAGAAAAAACCTGAAGTATTATCCATCAATTTCAGATGATAAGAAAAAACATATTAAAACAAAAGTCTCCTTATTCTTATGAAAATTTAAATCACAAAAGAACTATCATAAGGCTTAACTAATATTCACATTTAGGTGAACAATCATGGCACGTATATTTACAGGAACCCCTCTCCACCCACGAATTCCCATATTGTAATATTTGTATATGGTTTCCCTGCAGTGCTGATTAATATTAATGATAATTACAGCTAACATACATTAAGAAATTACTACATATCAAATAGAAAGTAATAGATCTGGGATTTGAACTAAGAAACTGCCTTACCCTAAAGCTCTGGAGACTAAGTTGCTGGGACTCTTTTGTAAAGTATAGCAGGAGAGTTTGATGTGTATATTGATGAACATTTTATCCCCCTATCTCCTCCTGCTATGTACCTCCGGCTATTGTGAACATAAATTCTTCAGCAATGGAAGTTGGAAATAAAATACATTCTCAACTATATTCAGGCCTCAAAATACGAAGACTCTGAAAATTCTATTGCTGCTTTAATTATTCCTTTTGAGTAAAAGATAAGCAAAGACTAGTTAATCTTAATTTGATATCTGTTTTTTTTCCATTGGTTCATGCCAGTGACAGCCAGTATACCAAGTTTTCCCTCAAATATGAATTGGCACAGTTGCCCAGAAACGGACCCAGCAAATGCTGATGGAAAAACACATTAACTATATAGTCAGACAGGTGTAGGTTCGAATCTTAGCTAGACCACTTCCCATCTTGGTGCTCTTGTGGTGGTTATTTAACCTCTCTGAGTCTGTTTTGTTATCTGTAAAAGGGGTCTAATAATAACCGCCTTTCAGAGTTGTGTGTGTGTGGGCACTAAATAAGGAAACATATTCAAGTGCCTTGCATCTTGATAGCACTCAATAAATATTAGAACTGCTTATCTTCTTGGGTATATTTGTAGTAGCATGACAGGACAGTGTGACCTAGATCACATAAGAAATAAATGCCTGGTGTTCTTCTTCTTAGACATAAAGTTTTTCTTGTAGCAAGGCCCAGCAATGAAAAGTAAAATCTGGAGTCCTGGGGCCTGGGTTTGGTAGTTTTGTGAGAGCTTGAAATACTACTGGGAAATCACCCTGTAGGTAAATGGAATAAGCAAACCCGCCCCTGCCAAGGAAAGATCACCCTGCCAGCATTCTTCCCACTATTTCCAGGAACTGTGGCACCTGTGCAGAGTATCTCCTTGATGTTTGCACTGATGCCTTCAAGGCGTTAATACCTCAAGTGGTCCTTATTAGCACACTAAGGAGATGATCATGATTTTATCAAGGGTTCCATAGCTGTCACTACAAGTGACAGATTTTGGAAGGCTCCTTCTCTACTTTTTCCTTCCAGTTAAATTAGGAAGAATTTTAGTCCCACTATTTGATGGAATTCTTGTTTTTTATATATATATTTTTTATTATACTTTAAGTTCTAGGGTACATGTGCACAACGTGCAGGTTTGTTACATATGTATACATGTGCCATGTTGGTGTGCTGCACCCATTAACTTGTCATTTACATTAGGTATATCTCCTAGTGCTATCCCTTCCCCCTCCCCCCACTCCACAGCAGGCCCCGGTGTGTGATGTTCCCCTTCCACTGTCCAAGTGTTCTCATTGTTCAATTCAATCATCGTCAATCCAAAGTTTTCTTGGGTTGCCTAAGAAAAGGCTGAAATACTACTTTGCAAATTAATTTTTTTTCTTACACTAAGCTGTGTGTCTTTGAGAGAGCAATGACAGAGAAGAGGCTACATAGAAATTTCAGTTAGGCTCTTTTGGGTTTGTGTGGAAAATTAGAGACACACTGTTGCTTAGAGGATGAAAACTAGTCTGATTTTTATTCTAATGGCAAATTAATTTATTTTTCTTAGCTGTCTATATAGCACAAATTAAATGGATACTTTTAATGTCTCTTTCAATGATACGCAATTTTATAAGCAATCATGAAAAAGCAGTGCCAACACTAGAAGAGGAAAACTTCTACTTTATTTTCTCATGTTGACACAAAAGGATAATTTGAAAAAAAAAAGACTTTTTCATTTAGAACTGTCGAAGAAATACAATATATTTCATTCATTTTTGTGTGTGATTAAGGCTTTAAAAAGACCTTATGTGTGACTGAAAATAATGTCATGAATGTCTGTCTTGAAGCTGGAAAAAATACAAAAATGATCAGTAGACAATTAGCCAAATTGCTATCTTGGCAGCTGAATTAAGTGTAACTCTGTTTTCTCTAAGTACAACAACGGATGTTGAAAGAGAACCCCACATCTTTTATACTTCTGTAATCAAAGACAGCAATTCACTAAATTTTTATTTAAGTCAATGAAAGAGTCACTTCTAAGCTATACTGGCTATTTAGATGGAAACAGTATCTGGCAGCTATGTCCCTCCATTGTGGAGAAACATTCCCAGTCCTCAAAGAGCTATATTTTGTATTAAGCTTATCTTCATTACTTAGAATGGTACTCAGAAGATATAACTCTACTCAAATAACTCTACAGAAGGGTGAAGTAGATATGTGCATCTAGTAGTTTTCTACATGGAATACCATGCAACCTAATCATTCAGGAGGTAAGAAGTCTAATATGTTTCTGACCTATGATAAAGTGACTGAGGAACATGCATTCTATGTGGAAATCAAAATTATTTCAGAGATTCTGGTTGTATTGCATTAGCAAGATTCTTGTTGCATTAAATTGTAACTACTAGCTTCTGCCTATGATTCTCTACTTACATGATAGACCAATACATCACGAATCCACAGACTAAATACTTTTTGGAACCTGCATGTCCAATACAACTATATAGCTTACCAGTTATTTCATCCATAATAAAATTTGGCTATATAATACCAAGTACAAAGGAAGTTCACTAAAATCAAGATGAAGCTCAGGTTCGTAGTAATGCCAAGTAATAAAATACAGAAGTTAAGCCTAAGAACCAAGCTCCCTTATATTTATGCAAATTGAGTCAGAGATTCATTTTCCTATCAGTACATTGCCCACACTTCTAATTCTTGTCTTTAACAAATCAGAAAAAAATCTATAAACACTTTTAGAGAACTGTTTTATTCCTTTTAAAGAAATCTGAAAAGGAAGACTAATTTTTTTCAGTACTCTTACCATAAATTTAGGCCTATGCAAGTATAGTCTCTGCAGAGAACTGTTTTATTCCTTTTAAAGAAATCTGAAAAGGAACACTAATTTTTTTTCAGTACTCTTACCATAAATTTAGGCCTATGCAACATATAGTCTCTACTATATGGCCTGCAAAGCCCAAAATATTATTAGGTTCTTTACAGAAAAAATTTACTAATCTGTGCCTAAACATTTGCTGACATACTGGTTTTGGGATCTGGCTGTCTTCTTTAGATCTTTAAAAACTTTAGTTTTCAGGTGTTTTTTAAAAAAGAGTTGGCTGAAGGCCAGGCACGATGGCTCATGCCTGTAATCCCAGCATTTTGGGAGATCGGTGAATCGCTTGAGCCCGGGGGTTTGGGACCAGCATGGGCAACATGGCAAAATTCCGTCTCTACAAAAAACAACAAGCAAAAATAAAAACAAAAATTAGCCAGTTGTGGTGGTGTGTGCCTGTGGTCCCAGCTACTCAGGAGGCTGAGGTGGGAGGATCGTTGAACCTGGGAGGTCGAGGCTGCAGTGAGTCAAGATCAAGATCACGCCACCGCACTTCAGCCTGGGCATCGGAGTGAGACGTTACTTCAAAAAAACAAACAAACAAACAAACAAACAAAAAAAACAAAACCTGGCTGAGATTTTACTCTAAGTCTAAAAGGAAACAGAAGGCTTTTAGAATCTCCACATCAATAAACTGGCTATGCCCACTGAAGACACAACTACGAATAGGTTTGTGTTTATAAGTATGTCAATCTGTGGATTCTTTTAACAGATAATTTCAAAAACCTATTTACGTTTCCAAGGGATGTACAACAAACACCCTTTGGGAAATGTGAAGCCACCTAAGAACGATGACCACAGCTTTTGTTCTTAAGATTTCAATTCTGCACCATAACACTGTGTTTCATAAATCTGAGGTCAATACCAAGGCAAATTCCATAAGATCACAGAGTTACACAGTAACAGAGCTGAAGAACATTACCAAATGAGAAAATTTAAGAAAGAAAAGATCATCTCATTTCTTTGCATAAAAGGCCACTTAAATGTCTATAAAACTGCTAAATAGTAAAAATTGCTCACTGCTAAGGATCTGGACTTGGTTCAATCATAAGACCTATTATAGACTTTTTCCATTTTTAAGATTTTGTTTCTTCATAGGAAAGAGATGGGAGGAGGGGGTAACAAATAGGAGAGAACTCCACACTAGCTGCTCCAAAAATTTGAGCGTTCAGTCCCTATCTATATAAGTTGTTAAACCTCACTTAAGTGCCTAGAAGAGAAATAACCAAAAATTGACATGTATTTTCTCTCAAGTGATAGCAATGAATTTCTGTATAGGATAACTGCAGGAAAAAAAGTATAACATAATTATTTTAAAAAAGTATTCCTTTACCTTGTTCCTGCTTAATCCTCTCTCTTTCTGCATATCCTGCAGTCAGCATATTAATTCTGTTAAGCCACCTGAGAAAACAAATATTAAAATCAATAACATTGTAACCTAATTTCTTATATTTTACTTCCTAGAAACATTTATTTTAAAATGTCTAAGAATATACGGAATAATCCTACATATAAGATGTGTTCTTTGCTACTATTGATACATAGAATCTTTAATGAGATACAATTTGCTATAGTACAAATTGCTCCCATACCAAAGATGCTACTTCAATAGAAAAGTCTTGGGCAAAGCTGTTAATATCTGTAACATAAAGGGTTTGGAGATGACCAAAGCCATATTAATTCTATTGTTCCAAATGTAGAAGTACTCCAAATATTCCTGCTGTTCTGTTTCTTCAGAGCAAATGCTCCTTTAGAGATATTTAAACAGTATCAGGTTCAATTTATTCTGATGAGGGAAAAAAGTTATGGACCTTGCCTGTCAAAATAATAGTTTTATTATGAAATCATAGTTTTGATTAAGCTTATTTAACAATCTAACAGGAAACACATCTTGGGAGTACTTCGGACACTTGTCTCTAAATACAAGGGTATGGGGTTTTCCAAAGACACAATGAACTTATACAATTTTAACATCTGTTTAGATCTTGAACATGTATTTTCATGAGCAATTGTAAGTTAAAAATAAATCTCAGTTCTTTGCTCTTTCTGTAGTGCTGCTATTGCCAATGTAGGGACTGCCTAAAGCAAAGCACAGTTTTACTGTCTTTCTTTTGTCCCACCAGGGCTCTCCTTATGTTCATTATTTCAACTATTTACACTATCAGATTATCTAATCACAAGTCTTTAAACAACATGCAAATTTCCCTTTGGTCAATCCTGAGCCATAATCCATATACTTTCCCAAATCAGAAATTGAAGAAAAACCTACATTTCAAGCTAGCTTGAATATGTCCAGAATCACTAGTATGGTTAATGTCATTAAGTTGTGGAATAATCTAATCTAGATATATTTTTAAGAAAAAATTGTGTTTGAGAACTTTTTCTCCTAAGACATTTATCTTCCCTGTCAAGTGAAAGATCACATTCTTTGAAGTGACTCATATTTCATCATTTATGCCAAATGGTGTTAACTGTGCATCAGATACTTAGAATATCTTGAATCTTGAAAAGTGAGGAAATTCCTGTCTCTAATAGACAAAATCGCATCTATGGAAATTTAAGCTTTAATTGTAAGAATAGGTCAATTAAAACCTAACTTTATTTTAGCAAAACCTACAATGTAATTATCACCTCAGGTACATTTGGGAAGTGAAGAAAAGACTGGAGTAGAACTGGAATAAAATAAAGATTATCAAATGAATTCAGTAGCATGGTATATATATAGACACACACACACACATCCAGAAAATTATAAGCTATAAATCAAGAAGTAAACTTCATGACAATGTTTTAAAAATGACTCTAATCATTAGTAAAAGTTCAAAGTTAAAATTTAGTCTAAGTTGATTTGCAGTGAAAAAGGGGTTAAATTTGTACCACAAGGCATATCTTACCACTCTTGGGAAAGACTGGCCTGGTGCTTTTTGGTGAAAATGATGATAATACCACTAAAGAAAAATTTATCATTGAATTTTAATCCAGTGCCTTATCTTTACTACTTTAAAAAATATCACTGAAGGCTAGGCATGGTGGCTCACGCCTATAATCCCAGCACTTTGGGAGGCCGATGTGGGCGGATCACCTGATTTCAGGAGTTCGAAACCAGCCTCACCAACACGGTGAAACCCAGTCTCTACTAAATACAAAAAATTAGCCGGGTGTGGTGGCAGGCACCTGTAATCCCAGCTACTCGGGAGGCTGAGGCACGAGAATTGCTTGAAATTGGGAGGCGGAAGTTGCAGTGAGCTGACATCGTGCCACTGCACTCCAGCCTGGGTGACAGAGCGAGACTCCATCTCACACACACACACACACACACACACACACACACACACACACACACCAAAACAAAAAAAAACACTGAAATTTCATCTTATCAGAAATGTAAAGAACAAAGAGGTCCTTAAGAAATAAATTAGGAAACTAAAAAGGGGCTTGCTCAATTTTTCACTTCAACAGCATTTATTAAGTGTCTGCTATGTGCTGAACAATAAGCTATGTTTTAGGGATACGGAAATAAATAAGACGTAATTTCTGCCTTCAATTAACTCTAGATTTACTAAGTTTCACAAGACAATTGAAAGTTTAAACTATTCTTAAGAAGAAAAATTTTGTTAATTGAAGAAAAATTGTTTAGAAAGTGTGTGGATATACTCAGGCCACTGTGTAGAGCCACAAGGGGCTAAATACAACACAATTGTTGGTGCTATCTTGGATAAACTTATCCTTTAGGATTAAACTAGAAGATACTTACTGATTTACTTGTTACAGTTATAATTTAATATTTTAGGTTATTATGAAAGCAGACACATATGCATCAACTGATTCAAGCAACATTTATTAACAGCTATATGTGCCAGGTACCTGGGATACAGAGATAAAACAAAGTGCCTGCCTTCATGATTTCCATATCTTAGTGACGGAGATAAACACTAAACAGGGATGCAAATAAACATATGTGAAATAGTAGCAAATGCTATTTAAAAACAGACAAGCAAGCAAGTTAGAAAATTAGAATGCCAAAGATGCTGCGGATGAGGGAAGGCTATTTTAGGTAAGATGGTCAGAGATACAATATTGAATTTAGAATCTATTCAATATATTTATGAGGAAGATATTTAATAGCAGGTCTAAATTCAGTCAGTACCTTACCATATCACCAATGCTTTAAAATAGGAAAATACAGGTAAGGTGATATTGAACCTATAGCAAACATTCAAAGGAGATATTCACAACTGACAAAGAATAATGTGTTTGGAGGGAAATAAGAGAAAGAACCATGAGAGAAATGTATAAATAATAATTACCAAATAGGAATTGGTGAGTCATCACAATTACAAGAACATGTGTACTGACATGGTAAGGAATATATAGGCCAAACAAATTCAGTAAATAAGTCTTCAGAATACCTGAGTACTATGATGTTTTATTTTATCCCCACAGATTTTACACAGACAAGAAAAAAATCAGTTTTTAATGTTTCAGTGCTTATTTCTGATGAAACAGATGAACAGTAGTGGGGTGCCTAAAAGTGTTTTTGCAAATGACCTCACAATCAAACTTACTGCTTCTCAAAATAGAAGGTGATATTTTAATATTCTATGTGTATGTGTATGTATACACATATATAAATATTTGTTGTGTGTGTGTGTGTGTATATATATATATATATATGTGTATGATTTTACAGAAGAAAATTAAATGTAAGGATAACTTTTTAACACCAATTACTAGGTCCTGTCACCACCAGCATTACATTTGTTTTTTTTAAATGAGGAACAGAAAAATATATTTCTCTGAAACATGGTGTATTTTCATAAGAAGTAGGTATGATATTAAAAAATTATGAAATAATCACATACATTATATAATTATAATAATTTTTATAAATATATAATCTCTTGAAGGCTTAGATACATGCTTTTAAAAGATTACATATAGAACAAACCAACACCCAGATCATCTTGCTGTTATGTAACAGTCAGGTGACTTGACAAAGCTGTAGGTGGGTGTTCCTCCCCATCATTAATCCTCTGTGAATATTTGTAGCACTGACTCTTTCCCCCTTCTATTAACAAGTAATTAAAAATCTTCCCATTGAAAGTAGACATTAGGAATAGGGTTATTTTTTAGAAAGCAAAATTCAAAGCAAAACAATAAAAATCCATTTTAATTAAATTAAAATAAAATTCAGTATTTTGGGACAATTAAATTCTTAAAGTTGTAGTGGGCCATGGCAGGCTTTACATAAAACAGCACTTTTAAATGTATAATGTGGAGACGGCCTTTTTAATGTTTCACTTTTTTTCTTTCACCTATTGCTTAGAAAACCAACAAAATGAACCACACAAATTTGGTTTAGTTTCTGCGATATCCCGAACCAGATACAGCCACAAAATATTAGGAAAGAGCAGTGACATCAGCATCCTTTTGAAGCTACTGCTAACTTGGGGTGGGTAATGAGGGCCAAGAAGGATTTTATAGTTCATAAAATGCACTTTGAAAGAGGCAACTTCTAAGCTTAAAAAGATCCCAATTAGCATGTATTGTGAATGATTACATTGTATTAATTCTTGGAGTTGGCTGGATTCTAGTGCATCCATCTTGTAAGATACGATATGCTCATGTATGCCACTTAATTTCAGTGTGGTCATGATGAAAATTCTTCGTATTTATCCCAAGGGTATTGAGCTTAACATATGGTAAAATGGATAGTAAGTACTAGAACAGTGGAATTATAAAATAATTAAAACATAAAATGGAGTATCACACCTCTCCTTCTCCATGTGAATGTGAATAAATATTTTCATTTTGAGAACAAGGAGAAAAAACTATTTAAATTTTATAGCTTGGTGTGAAATTTCAAGAATGATAAGTTATATGAATTAAGAGAAGATTATGGAAACTATACGAAAGGCTCAATTCCTTTATTAGTAATAAAAGTTTTAATCAAGTGCTCTCAACACCATCTTTCTTTGCCATTTACTTGTATTCATATCCTTGCTTTGAAAAAAAAAAAACATGTTTGTATTCCCAAATGTCAAAGAACAAGATTATTTATAAAAGGACATTAAGTGTTCATTTAGTATGTTCAAGCAAATTTATGCAGCTATACAGTTTTGTGCTTAAAAATGCCTGGGTACAATTGTTTTAGAGAAAGGTAGATGGAGTAAGAACCCAACGTATATAAAAGGAATATATATTAATAGTAAACATTTATATAGTACTTATAATTTAGCAGGCACTGTTCTAAGTCCTTTATGTATGCTTATTTACTCCTTATAAAAGTCTTACTGATAGGGGTCAGTCTTATTTTCACTTTATTAAAGGGCTAATACCTCAGCATAGAGAGGTTCAGTTTCTTGCCCAAGGTCTCACAGCTAATCAGTGTAGAGCTGAGATTGGGCTGGTTATTAGCCCCATCCACCTCTTGTATAGATTGGACATTACTATATTGGAATGAAGAGGTCATGTTCTTTGTCCAAGGCTGTACAGCTATTAAGTGGTAGAGCTGGGATTTAGAGAGTCTGGTTGCAAAGTCCATGCTCCTGACCATGATGCTATGCTGCCTCTCCCTAACTGTAGGCAAGTTATATTTGTAATATGTACTGGCTAGTAAGTTATAGAAAGGAGGAAAATTTTGAATCTTAAGCTCAATTTCTATAATTCTAGAAAAGGAAGAGGGGAAAGGAAAGAGAAAGGAAGAAAGCACAAAATTCATAAAAGCCAAAGTATTAACATGAAGCAGAATGTGGTAGGTGATGAGAAAAGAAAAAAAATGTACATATAAGTTTTCCCTGAGCCACCAAGTAACCACTGAGCTATCTGATTTGTTGGTTGTGGTCCTGTCAGGTGAAAGATGAAAAGTGACAGAAAGAAATACTAATTTTTCTTAGGCCTGAATTATTGAGATGAATATTCTGTCAAAAATACTCAGTACTTCAAAAAGTCCGATTTTTTGGTAGACATCTCTTTTTCCCCCATCTGGGAGTCAATTTTAAGACATATTATTGAAATGAACTTAAAAAATCCCCTTTTTTTGGTGGTAGATTTTTTTGGGTCTGTATATGGTCTTGGTAAACTTGACAAAAATATTTAACGAGTTTATTTTGACTTTTTAAATGATGTTCTTTAAAATTAGATATGGCTGCATGGAGCTATTCTGGGTCTATTTTATTTTAAACTGATTGACCTAGAAACTTCAGTGACATTATTCTCTAAGAATTACTGTAGAAAATTTAGAATTCTAGGCCTCACTGACCTTCTACATACTCTGAAATACTTTACCTGTTCATATCATCAAGATGTTCAGCAGCAAAATAAAAGCTTTTGATTTTAGGATGACAGGCTTTGAATGCACTGCAAAAGGAAACAAAGTACATTTATTACAAATTGGGAAATAAGTTTGAACCAAATAATTCTGACGGGCAAAATTACCTCAACATCTAACCCGAGTTCACATATATAATGCTTCTATCATGGTGACAGAAATCAGTAAAAAGTTCAATTTTCTGCCCACAAAACTGCTTTCTTATTACCTCAATGTGAAAGCATTAAATGAGCAACCTATAATTTAAAAGCTGGAAATTAAAAAAAAAAACTATCGTTCCCTCTTCCCAAATAAAATCAACTTACTATTTTTTGCGGCATTCACTGGCTCTATCAATTTTAAATTCAGGCAGGCTAATGAATCCTTCTGCTTTTTCATCCTGAAGAGCCAAGACTCTTGGTTAGTTTATTATATACAAAGGTGTGAAGGTAATGATACTCTGTAACTATGGCTTAGATATCTGTACTAATAAATCCGTTCCTTTAATTCCTTAAATTTGACATTTTAGAGATAAGAATTCAATGCTTACCTGCTGTACTCCATAAATTGAAGATATATTTTGAACACTTAGAATACTACAAATTAAAGTATAGAACTTTTAAAAAGTCTTTTTCATATTAAAATGAGAATGGAAAATTCTTTAATTCTCAAAGTGGAATGTGTTTTATAACTAATTTTCTGGTCAGAACATACATACACTTCTATAACATATAAAATAAATGTAGTCCACTTTTGTAATTCACAATTTTCTATTTTCTTAATGTTCAGATGTAAAATATAGGGATGTTCACTGATTCAATTTTCCTCCAACAAATCTCTTATCAAATTTGATTTTCTCTAATTATGCAACAATGATCTTTTATTTAATTATTTTTAACTTTTATTTTAGGTTCAGGGGTACACGTGAAGGTTTGTTATACAGGTAAATGCGTGTCACAGGGGTTTTTTGTACAGATTATTTCATCACCCAGGCACTAATCCTGGTACCCAATAGTTATTCTTTCTGCTCCTCTCCCTCCTCCCATCCACCCTACTCAAGTAGGCCCCAGTGTCTGTTCCCTTCTTTGTGTGCATGAGTTCTCATTATTCAGTTCTCACATATGAGTGAGAACACGTGGTATTTGGTTTTCTGTTCCTGCATTTATTTGCAAAGGATAATAGCCTCCAGCTCCATCCACGTTCCTGCAAAAGACATAATCTCATTCTTTTTATGGCTGCGTAGTATTCCATGGTGTATATGTACCACATTTTCTTTATCCAATCTGTCAGTGATATGCATTTAGGTCGATTCATGTCTTTGCTATCACGAATAGTGCTGCAATGAACATTCACGTGCATGTGTCTTTATGGTAGAAAGATTTACATTCCTCTGGGTATATACCCTGTAATGGGACTGCTGGGTGGAATGGTAGTTCTGCTTTTAGCTCTTTGAGGTACTGCCACACTGCTTTCCACAATGGCTGAACTAATTTATACTCTCACCAACAGTATATAAGTATTCTTGTCTTCTCTGCAAGCTCATCAGCGTCTTATAACAATTATTCTGTGCATTCAAGAGTTTACAAATGAAATAGGTCAATCTGACTTTCAAATATCTGGCTTGGGGTATGTGCTATATATATATAAAGGTCATTTTTCACCTGGAAAATGGAATAAAATCCATAAAATCCTGCTCTCTCTAATGCTGGATGGAAAAACAAGACAGAAGAATTATCCAAAATATTATGTTAGATACGAGTTATCCCAACTAAGCTAAAACTATCTTTTGCTAAATGCTTTAATCATTGTATCCCTTGTTCTGCTCATGATCAAGCTCCTCTGAGTTTTACTATCTCTAACTTTCATTTGATCTGTGCTATATCCATAGCTCCTTATATATCAAGTTCAAGTGAGATTATACTCCCATCCACTATCACAGAGGAAAAAAAGAGTTCTCGATTCTTTTAGATTGTATATTTGTATGACTGCTTTCACTGCTAAGCTTCCACGCAAAACAAAAATCTGATGCTACTGATAGTGACTGAATATGTGTTATGAAAAAGAGTAGTATTAAACTTTTTCAGTATTTGAATATTTTTTCTTCCAATCTTGGAGTAAGGACAAGACAGTATTTTTAAATCCTTTTCCCAACTTTAATTTCTATGTTACTTTACCCTTGACATTCATAATGTAAATATTTAAAATTTTGAACAATTTAAAATATTTTGAGGTAGTTATTATCTCCCCATAATGATGTGATGAGGGATTTTTACATTTCTCCTAAAAATATTATCATATTAAAGGTATTTCTTGCAATGTATACTGTAGAATTCTTCACTCATCTCTCACAAGGCTAACAGTAACAATAACTTGCTGAATGAAACTTAGTTCAACAAAAAGGGGCCACAGTTTTTCATCACTTAAACTTTGAAAGACAGGATATAATCTAGTATGTGGCAGACAAACCTGCAAGTGACCTTACAATAAAGAGAAACATGGAGATACTATATCTTGATAATATTTGATTGGCATATAAAAAGTATTTAATATATATCTATTAAATGAAACTGTAGGTAAAATTATGGCTTGTTTCCTACATTTAAAATAAGACACACTTAGCGAAGCAGAGGGTATTTTAGGTAATTGTGTGATTTGCCACAAAAATGTCAAAAGTACAGAAAACAACCAAATATTTTTATATAGGTGATATAGACATTTACATTAAATAGAAAAATATTAATTCAAGATTTTACAAATAAAATGAGAGGTCCCTTTGAAAAATGTTACTAATAGCACACATTTTTTTCAGACAGGGTCTTGCTCTGAGTGCAGTGGTGCAATCATGGCTCACTGCAGCCTCAACCTCCCTGGCTCAAGCAATCCTCCTGCCTCAGCCTCCCAAGTAGCTGGGACTACAGACGTGCACCACCACGCTTGGCTAATTTTTTAATTTTTTGTAGAGACAGGGTCTCACTATGTTACCCAGGCTGGTTTCAAGCTCCTGAGCTCAAGTGATCCTCCTGCCTCAACCTCCCAAAGTGCTGTCATTACAGGTGTGAACCACTGGGCCCAGCCTACCACATGTTTATTGAACACTCAGTATGTGCCAGGCATTGATTCATTTCATCCATATGATAGTCCAGTGATAAGCATTATTATTACTCTCATTTTGCAGATGAAGAAACTATGGCACAGTAACTCAGGTGGTATGATTTCTGAGTCTACTCTTAAACACAACATAACACTACATTATAACCTGTCTAGGGAACATAAAATTATCTAGATATTATGTTTTGTAATCGTAGGCATAATAATGTTGTTAAATTATATTTCAACAATATTCAAATGCAAATTGATGAATGTCTTAACATAATAGTATTGGACTATTCACCCAGCACACTACATTAAGCCATGTACATTTTTTATAAAATAAGGAAATAGCAGAAATCATTGTTTTAAAAAACTAATAAAGTGAACTAGTAGATGGCTATAGCAAAGGAATAAAAGCAAATGCAGAATAAAGGGAATATCAACAAATGTTTTTGGCATATCTGTCAAGATACGTAATAAGTTTTGATATGACTCCTCTGGATATAAATCTGTTATATTAAAACACCCCAGAAAATCATAAGAATAATTTAAATGTATTATATATATACCCCCCCACTGGGCCAAGTGAAATGAATACTTGCAGATTTTCAAAACTAGTCTACTAGATCATTTTTAAAGAAAAATGGAAATAAATTCAGGTGGTATTAGTTTACTTAAATTAGTAAAGGGCTTCCCCTTCCCCACTTCTAAAAAGAAAAAAAAAACCAGAAAAAAGTGTAAAATTTTGAACAAAAGCAAGACATTTAAAAATTAATGTCAAATTTCCACATATAATCCTTTTAGTTAAGCTACTGCTTGGATTAGCTTCGCATTTTTATTTAGATATACAGAATTTTACTACACTTTATCTGTGTTTCAGATATGTTGCTACATTAGCATAATTGAGACAGCTATCTTTCTAGAACCCCAACATGCAATCATTTTAAGAGGGTGGATTGAAAAATACCTAGCAGAAGTCTACTGAATTGGCCTTAAGGTGATTATACGATTTTAAAATATAAGTCTCAAAATGATTCTTTTGATTAAAGATAGAGAATGGATGAGAAAACAAAAGGTGCTTTATCTTACCTCCTCATTAATATACCAATAAAGGGATGCATCCTTTAGGACAAACCAATATTTTTTCCATTTCTGTGAAAAGTAACTCTTCGCATCTTTCTTTTTCCAAAGCCAGCCCTCACAGTCACCACGGCCAAGATCTTTGCAAGAAATTCGTCTTTTGCTCTTGCCTGCTATAGGACCTAAAGGGTGGAAATGCTCTTTCAATTTTGTCAAAGGTATGAAAGTAGAGGATTAATCTATAGATACCAAAAAGAAGTATGAGTTCTTGAAAATCTTAAAAATTTTTATATTGTATTAGACTAGAAAAATATAAAAATCTTTAATATTTTCCCTCACATAAGTGACACACATCTTAATCAGAAATATGTAACACCACTCTCAAAACTTATTGAGATCATTTGTTGTAAAAGGTACCTTGTATTATAATTGCACTGAAGAAGAAGCTGGCAGCTTTCGCACAAGGGGGTTGTGCTCTTCTAAACCACACTGGGCTCAGGCAAGAAAGAGGGCATGGATGAAGTGTGTTGGGGATTATCAAAGAGCAAAATAAGCAGGTAAAGGTTTCATTTCCTTTTCTTACCTTTGTTTTTCTTCTTTGATTTGTGCTGCAGTGAGGACTGCTGAAATGTCTGAAATCAAAGATAAAAAGAATGTTATCTGATACTCAGGGTGTGATCCAGAGCACCAGCACGCTACACAGAACTCTCAAGAGCTAAATGATGACTCTAAACACTGTTAGGGGAAGAACTTTTTCCCCACAAAGCCTCAAAACAAATTCATATACATCATGTCACTTAACTTTCTAATCTCCTGTGAAGCAGGAAAGGATATTATATTTACCCGTATTTTGTAGGCAGAGAAATCAGGGCACAAAGCATTTGGTAAAACTAAAGGCTTTTACACATACACACTACTTTGTACCTTTTCACGGGTATATTGTGGTTTGCCAGACAGTATCTCATTTGAGTCTCACAAAATCTAATGAAGTAAGCAGGAAAATATGACTATCCTTTGTTCACATGAAGTTCATTCTATTACATAAGCCACCATCACCTACTGTTCTCCTACTTCCTTAGTCCCTACATATTTCAGCACTTGGAACAATATTTTTTTCTCATGCCTACTTCTGTCACTATTATTGGTGACTAATCTTCATGTAGATGATGTCAGCACCCTGGTTCCTCAGTTCTAATAACATTTACTTCCCCACTCCTCAGCTACCTACCCCCATAATCATATGTTTGATATCTAAAGCACACACCAGCCACTGTATCTAATTCATATGGTTTACATAGTCTCTAATACCTTCATGTCATCACTTAAAAAAAAACTTCATTGAGGCATCCAGTTCATTGACCTAACTACCCTCTTGTGCCTGTATTTCTTTCTTTCCTCTTAGTTTCCATGGGATACCATTATAATCGTTCCCTTGACCATGCTCGCTGCATCATACTTGCCAAGCTAAACATCCATCCCAGTTAAACCTACCTGTCTGTTCACTCCATGCTAAGTACCTGAAGAGCTTGATATGTCTAGAGAAAAACCCACAACTATATTGATTGGTCTAACTTTCAATTAATGACTACACATCACTGGCTCCAGTTAGTCTACTAAGCCATATTGTTCACTGGTATAATAAGATTCATTACATTCACATGATCAGCCAGCTAAAAGGGAACAGAGATAGCATGTGTGCTTTTAATTCACAGATATTCCTTCAAAATGAAAATCAGGTTACAGATTCTTCTTTTTCTTTACAAAGATATATCTATAAGGGGCAACTGGATTTTGCTTATATAAAATTTGCTGGTCTTTTTTCACAATAAATTCATGTTTTGTGATACTTTATTATTTAGTATCATTGCTCATTAAATAATATTCTACTTATATAATAATTTTTGTTCTGTATATGATTTATATAAGTCTAATGAACATAGTACTACGGATGTGTATCAGTCCTAAAGATAAGGGTCAGATAATTTGCTGACATACAAAGCTTTCCAGAAATAATCACCTAAGTGTTAAAGCATTATAAATATGTATGTATGTGGTATATGTGTGTGTGTGTACACACATACACACACACATATCAAACTTTGCAGCATGCATGGTTATAGAAATTCACAAATTTTGAGAGAAAGCATAAAAGATAAAACCCATTATGCTGTGTTGATTTTCTTGAATGCACTTTGCTTCAAAATAATAACTCAAATAATAACTCAGGCTAGTGTGCTTAAGTATAGCTCATTTACAGATAGTTATTTTCCCTACATTGTTTCATGGTAAAATTACTGATTGGGGTTTTTTTTCCCTTTGTATTTCTGCAAGTAATCATTATAGTTTTACAGCTCATTATTTTGAAAAATGACAAAGATGGAGGTGGTTTGTTTTTAGAAAGCTACATAGATTACAGACAGCTTGAAAGAACTGGGTTATATAATGTACCTTCTATGCTTTTTGCATGCTATTCTGTAGAACCTGAATGTCTACTCTAAAAATCTACATGAAACATATTTTACACTCTCCAGGTTTTCTTTTTAACAAGATTATCTTTTCTTTTCCTATAAATATATTTCCATAAAGATCATGACTGCAGAGTATAATCAGTGCACTGGAAACCTGAAAACTCCAAGACATTAAATACAGATTTATCCATCATTCAAAGAAGCAAAGCCTTAGATGTCTTTTAAAGATATTATAAATATTAAAATAAAGTTCTCTTAAGAGAGATTTTATTATTTTTCCAATTGACTTGACATTTTCTAAAATGAAAAAGTTAATTGTATTATATGCTTTTGGAAGTAATGGGAAAATCTATTAAAACTATACAGTTAGGTCTCTGTGCAGAAAAGAGTTACTGTAGCAGGCCTGAGGTTGCCATCTTAGAAAGGCCTACTTGCAGTATTTGCCCTCGGTTGGCATCTAGGAACTTGGCTGGTAAACAGTTCCCTATACTGATAAGAAGCTTCCCTAAATGATAAGATTATTTTGCCCACATGGGGCACTGATTATTCACTTGCCTTCTGGAAGTCTGGAATTTTGGTAGTTGCTAGGCAGAGGATGTCTACATGCCCAATTCAATATCCTTGGGTACTGAATCTCTAACGGGCTTCCCTGGACAGAAACACTGCACACATGTGATTGAATTTTAGCTGCTGGGAGGAGAGTATGCTCTGTGTGACCTATCATGGGAGGGAGAGAGCACAGGAAGCCTGCAGATAGATTTTTCTAGATTCCACAGGTGTCTTTTTTCCTTACTGATCTGTCTGTAGGTTCCTGCTGTTTCACTGTTAATAAATCCTAGCTGTGAGTTCAACTATATGTTGAGTCCTATGAGTTCTTCTAGCAAATCACTGAACATGTAGGTGGTCTTGGGGACATCCAAAAGAGCCTCACATTCAAAAAGATCCCTTACAAACTTATATTAGAAACTGTTCATTATTCATAAATAATGGACATAAATAATCTCCAGAAAGGGTTTTCCTTATGTCATCAGCTACAGTGTTAGTAAGCACCCCTGAGGTGCAAATTTATCATCCTGTATCATCTTTTCTAGCAGAACTGATGGAATTATTCATTGTCAGTGACAGAAATTTAATTGGTACATTTTTTCCAGTTTTAAGATTATGCAAATTTAATAAGAGCAAGACATTAAAAACAGACATATGACCGTAATTCATAACACAGCTGATCATATAAGGTGCTACAACAACTAACTGAAAAATGAAAGAGGCCTAGAATCTTTGCATTCGTGGTAAGTGTATTTCTCATGAGGTAAAAATTCATAATATATCTCATTCATGTATATTTCATATTAGCTTCAGATTACCCTTCTTCCAAGTTTATGCTCAAGTAAGTATATTCTTTAGAAGTTCTTTCACAGCAGTCTGTGAGTGGCAAACTCTCCTAGTTTTAATGTTTGAAAATCCTTTCCTCTTGAATAATAGTTTGGCTGGGTATAGAATTCTGAGTTGGGCCTCAGCAATTTGAATGTATTACTTTATTTTCTTTTTGCATCTATTTTTCTTCTCTTAAGCCATCTGTAGTTACACTGTCATTTGCTTGTTTTAATCTGTCTTTAGTTTCTCTGTAGCTTCTAAAATATTTTTCTCTTTATCCCTAATATTCTGCAGTTTCACTATTATGTGTCTAGGTTACAATTTATCTAATTCACTCTATTTGGCAATTTTTGTGTTGTATTGAAAGTGTTATTTAATTCTGAAAATCTCTTCAAATGGTCTTCTTTACTAGCCCCTTTTTAAAACTCTAGACATATGTTGGTACCTCTCAATTTATCTTCCATGTGTCCTTCATGTTCTGTATCCTTTCATATTTCTGCGATGCCTTTTAGGGGAATTCATTTTACTGTCTTCCAATTTCCTAATTCTTTCACTGATTGTATCTAATCTAATCTAAAGTTTATCTTATCGATAGAGTGTTTATTTCATATATTTTACATTTCCAGTGTATCTAGTTGATAGTGGCTCTTTTGAATATCCACTGTTTAACCTTCCTGTTTTTACTTAAAAATGTATTTTAAGGGCTTTTGTGACCTTCTTGTAATTTGCATTTAGTGAAGAAAATCACCTCATTGTTTAGTTTATTGCCTTTTTTAAAAAAGTATTAATTTTCTCTAGACGCTTTGGAATTTTAGCTTGGGTGGAAGGTTCTTCCTGGAGGGATGTTTCTTTTTGCACTCATCCCTCTTAACTAAGCGTCTTGCTGTCTCTGCCTCCATTCCTTGGGACACTAACCAGGCGTTTTAGTGGTGGCAATGGGTTGCAGTTCCATCCATGAAATCCAAGTGGGAGAGGCATGGCCCATGGTTCTGAGTATCTGTTTTTGTTACTTGTAGACACCTAGGAATTCAGTTTTATACAAGTAGCTGTATCTTTATTTATTTCTTAGTAACTGCATCTTTAACCTCCTTACTCATGAATGAGGAAGCTCTGCTTGCCTTCCCAGTTGGTTACACCTCGTGAGTCAATTTTTAGATTTCCGACATAGCTGAGGTCCATTGGTTCTCTGATACTCATTAGAGAAGACTCTCAGGCATCTCTATCTTTTTCTGGACTCGGTGCCTAAGATATGTGGCTTTAGGTCCCAATTATCACTGAGCATTTTTGTTCCTTCTGGTGCCTGGAGATTAGATTTCATTTTTGACCATGACCATATCTTTTATTTCATTTTATTGCTATGTGTTTAGGGTAGGGTGAGTGTGAGGGTGTGTATGTATGTGAATTTAAAGCACAAGCTTGTAACGCTTATTGATCACCAAAAATGGATTTCTCTTGTTAGCATTTTTGAAGTCCAATTCTCTAAAAATTCCCATCTTCATTTTTTCCAAAAACATCATTTATTAAAATCTTTCTAATGCCTTCACTAGCACTTTCTGTTTATTATAGTGAGCATCTGGGTGAAAGTTCTTCGAACTTTCTAAGAATGTTCCATAAATTCTGACCTTTAGCAACTTAAGAATTCATACCACTAGCCAGGACTTCTTCACTGAGCTAAAGCCTGCCTAACTGAGTGGATTTAATATGTACAAAACTGAGCTCATGATATCTATCACTCATCAGCCAAATCTGCTTCTTTCCTACTCTTCTATATCTTATTAAATAGTAATTACATTTTTTTCCTCCCTAGTGGCTCAGGTACAAAACCTTGGAGTCAACTTTAACTCTTTTCCTTCTCTTATACCCCATAGCCAATCCATCAGCAAGTTTTACCAGCTTTGTTTTCACAATGAATGTATTTATAATATGACTTTTTCTCACCAGCTCTATTATTACCACCCTGGTCTAAGCCACCACAATCTCTCACCTGGATTACTGAAATACCCCCTGACAGTTCTCCCTGCTTCTGCTCTTACCCTCTCTAATATATTTATACTATATATATTATGAATTTATACATATATTATATAATATATAAATATATATATTTATATATATTTATCTTGAGACAAGGTCTTGTGTCACCCAGGCTGGAGTGCAGTGGCATGATCTTGGCTCACTGCAACCTCTGCCTCCTGGGCTCAAGTGATCCTCCCACCTTGGCCTTCTGAGTAGCTGGGACTACAGGTACACAGCACCATGCCCAGCTAATTTTTGTATTTTTAGTAGAGATGGGGTTTTACCATGTTGCCCCAGGCTGGTCTCGAACTCCTGGGCTCAAGTGATCTGCTTGCCTTATCCTCCCATAGTGCTGGGATTACAGGTGTGAGCCACTAAGACCAGCCCCCTCTAATTTTTAGCACAAGAGCCAGAGTGATCTGGTTAAAATATGATTTAAATCATGCCATTCCTATATGCAAAACTCATCAATGGTTTCTCATGTCCCTCTGAATAAATGCCTATATCCTTTCAATGACTTGAAGGCCCTACATGATCTGGTCCCCTGTTACCTTTGCCTACTGCTCTCCCCTTGCTAATTTTGTTCCAGCTACCTTTGCTGTTCTTAGATTATGCCAAGTACAGTCCCATCCCAAGACCTTCACCCTTGCTGTTTCTTCTGTCTGAAATGTTTTTTGCCCAGATGTTGTTGTGGCTCACTCCCTTAACTCCTTCAAGTCATTACACAAAGGCTTTCTTTTTAGTAAATTCTACCCAAGCTTCCCTGTCCAAAATTGTTATCCCAATTGCCCTCAATACTTTCTGTTCTTTTTCCCAGCTTTGTTTCCCCTCTGAGCATTTAGCATTATCTTAAGTATTTATATTTCTTGTTTATCACCTGGACTTCCTCCAAATATAAACTCCATTAAAAAAGGGCAATTCTGCCTGTTTTATGTATTGCTTTGTCCTCTGCCTAGAGTAAGACTTAGCACAGTAGGCACTCAATAAATACTGGTTATGTGAATGGATGTTGAACAAACCATCAGCAAAGAATACAGGTTGTAATCTTAATTAGCTGATTGTTGTAACTTGAAGAAGTCTATGAATCCATGTATAATACATTATTGAAAATTCTGTTCTTTAATAGGCCATTCCTTTTGGTAGATAAGAAGAATTTCCTTTTATCCAATCTCCTTCAGCACTACTTGCACTGAGATTGTCTTAGTGCATTTAACAGTTTAAATTTAAATTCACAATATGCCTGGCAAAAGTACATTAAATCTGTGTCAAAAGATATTTATGCTAATAATTATATGAGTTATGAATGAATGTGTTGAAATCATAATTCTTTCCATAAAAATAGAATGTGCTAAAATAAAAGGCTATTATGAAAGTATTTTTGATCTTCTTAACCATGGCGATGCATGCAACAGTATTCTGTTTGGCTATGAAAGATCCCTTTTTCAGACATTTGCCTGAAAAGACCATTTGTCTTTCATTCTGTCCACAGATGTTCTGTTCAAACTTCATTCCCCACTCTTTTGGATGGAGAAGTGTGGGGGCAGGGTAATTTGGGTCATTCTTATCCTCAAATTATCAGAAGCACTTATTTTAATTGTGAAAAAAATCAGTTTCTGTGTTACATTTTGAAAGCTCAGCTACTATTAAATTCTTCTCAAGTTGCAAATTGACACACTTAAGGAAAAATTTGCAATCAAAGTACTCTCTTGTTGCAGTAATAGCAATTTCCTCTTACTGTAATTTTCTGCAAAGTTCCAAGATTTCTTCAGTGACTAGTCAAACCAATAGCTTCTTTCTTATACATAAGAAAAGAAGGTGCTTAACAATTTGAAACACTTTAGATGATAGCTGCTTCCACACTTTTTTTTTAAATAAACAAGTAAAACTCTTTGAGATTTTAAATACTTTACAAAAAATGTTTTCTCTTAACTTTCTAATTATTGTATGTAGGAAGAAAAAAGTAAATATATGGAAATGGGATAGGATGACAATAGAACCAAATATTAAGTCAAAAAATTTCCATTTATAAGAAATAACAGCATAGAACTTAAGTCTGCTGTTGTTGGTGGCCTTGCTCATTCTGGTGCATGAAAGAAAAACTTGGAGTCAATCAGGGTGAAGGATGTGGCACTGCACACACCGTAGGTCTTTCATTAGAGTGGGATGAGGTAGCTCTGGATTCTGTCAGTCAGGTCGACCTGATTTTTTTTAAACTTTTATTTTAGGATCGGGGTACATGTATAACTGAAAATGGCTCCACACTTACTCAAAAATAAGCATGCTTTATAAACCAGTAAATTAGCAGTCAAATAAGAACAAAAAGACAGTAATTGGTAAGAATCTAGAGAAGGTCAGTCAAACTACAACTACTTAGGTTGGGCAGAGTTAATGTTCCATCAAAAAGAATGTCATATGTATCAGATTCTGAAGGAAGGATGTGATTGACTCTCATGCAGGATCCCATAAGGTGAGTCCTCCTGTTCCTACACAGTGGTAATGTAGGAAGAAGGGAAGTGATTACTTGGAAAATATTCAGGAAGGCTAACATGAATCAATACCCTTGGGAAATAAGAACTGCCATCCTTAGCTCAAAATAATAATCATTTACTGAGGGCTTATTATGTGTCAGGCACAATATTAAGCACTTACAAGTGTTTATAAGTGATGTAATTGATCCATTTTAATCCTTATAATACATATGTAAAGTGGTTATCATTAACCCCATTTTAAGAAAGAGGAAACTGAGACCCAGAATGCATAAATAAGTTGCTCAGGATCACACAGGTAGGGGTAGAGTCAAAATTCAAAGCCAGGTCTGTCAACCCCAAAACCTATACTCCTACTACATGCATTACTGCCTCCCAAGTAAGTATTATGTAGTCATAGTAACAATTAAAGAGAGAGAAAAAGTGCTTCTGGCACTAAGACATCCATTTATGAAAACATCTCATGACAGGTGATGCAAGTACATTGCTATGTGAAGAGAAAGGATTCTCCAAAACAGAAAGATTATCAGTGAGAAAAACACTTTTATATCAATGGAGATAATTCAAACCAATAACATCTCATCAATCTCTAATTTTCATGCTTTCTCAATTTTATTTTAATTAGCAAGTTATATTGCTCTGTAGGTTATAAAAGAAGATTTACAGGAGTTTCTGGGCAACCGCTTATAATAACATCTGCATGAAAGGAAGGCTCATGGTAACATCTTAATTTTGCAATTGAGACAGAAATTAAGGTACGATAATATTATAAGGCCCAGCCTAAGTAGACAGAGATGGGACTGCAATTACATTTCAGTACAAGCCTATTAACAGAACTCAGTTCAATTAGAAAACCCTGTGTCAATACTGATGAGAAAATCATGGATCCAGCCTGCCTTTTGACTAATTCTTTACTCTCTTGAGCTGATTCATTGTGTTATGCCATTTTCCACCCAAAACACTCCTCAATACTACGCAATGCTTTGGAATTACTTGGCTCACTTTCTGAAGGAATGGTTTTTACCTACTATATTAGTTCTATGAAGGCAGAAACCATTTGTTTAGGTCACCACTCTATACTCAGCTCCTAGCACAGGATGCGACATACAATTATCTGTTGAAGGCATGAATTGAATAGTTACTCACCACCTATGTGTGGGACACTGAGGTATGGGCTATGATTCATGGCTTCTCATATGCAATCTGTCAGCGCATCCTGTCCAGTTACCTTCAAAACATATCCAGAGTCCAACCCCTTTTCACCACTTCCACTTTAACACCCAGGGTTAAGTCACTCTCATCTCTCACTTGAATTGACCAGATCCTATCTTGTCTCCCCGCTTCCACACTTACCCTTGGCCCCTTCAGTCTATTTTCAACAAATCAGTTGGAGTGATACACTTAGAATGCTCATTTCTCAGCAAGAAAGGAACACACATTACCAATGAAGCAACACCATGGTAGGAATCAGGAGACCTGACTTTCAGTTCATATTTCAGTCTATATTCCAGCTCTATGACTTTGATCAAGCTACTGGACTACTCTTGACCTCAATTTCCTCAACTGCGAAATCAGGGATTTGGACCACATGTTCTTAGTATGTCTCATAGAACAATAACTTTCCAGGATCATAATTTAAAAATGAATGGAAAACCAGTTAATGATCACCAATGGAGACCTAATTATTGATGTTTTAGGAAATATTATATGTATACCTGTAATCAGTGTCAGTCTTAACACTGAATGCTAGATTATTCATTGAAAAGCACTTAGTTTATGTTTGAATTCCACCATGTATGGAAATAACTTATCACCAGCCATATTAGATACAGCTATTTTGGGGTGCCTGATTGATGTGTACAATTAACATAGATTTGCACTTGAGACAGAGGCAGCAAGTTCTAACAGGTGAAAAGCAGAACTAGGGCAGCTCCTACTCCTGACACTTCTGTTTGACAGAAACCGTTGAAATTTAGGTGTCAGAGAAATAAGAGTAGATTTGCCTGTCTTTTGTGACAAAGAAATGTTTATAACCAGAAAAAATGGAGAGGACCAGATTTGCTACCTGCAGGCTAATGAATGACAAGGAAATAAACTATGTGTAAAAGAAATAGAGGAATAAATAATATAGAAAGAATCACCTCTAACAGAGATGCATGAAACCCAAGAATCTCAAATGAAGTCACAATTATGGTATGATTGATGATTCTGTCAGCAATGATGTGACTGAATCATATTTACTGAAAAACTTTTCTGGTTGTGGACTTAATGGTTTTATTTGTAAAAGAATCTGAAATCAAAGTTTTTTTCTGATTACTTTAACTTTATTTTTAGGTTGATTTCTCTGATATAATGTACATATTTCTCATTATGAAAGTCTGTGTCAGTATAATTTGTTCCAAGAATGCTAGCTTTTATCTAAATATCTTTATCATATTAATACTACGTTTCTGTTAAACTCTTATTCTGATATTTTTGCTCTTATATAATAGACAAGCTCTCCAACACAACTACTTCAGATGTTTCTACATCTGGTAGTTTTAATAGAGTTTTCTTGATTTAGAGACTTTTTTCATAACAGAAATATTTTTCAAAGAGTACTGTATAAAAATAGAATTTTAAAAAGTATCAAAAGTCACTATATGCAATTTATTTTATAAAATAATTGAGATATATAATTCAGACTGTTCCTTTTAATACTGAACTATATAGTAAAACATGATTTTAAGACTAAAAAAAGGAAAATTGGTTTTATCTAACAGAAGGGAAAAAAGAACTTGATGGGGAGATATTTTAACTTCTGCGCTTGCAGCAGGAATCAAATCATCATTATGCTGTCAATTTAGATGGCATTTTTCATAGTCCTCTCTGCAGTGCTACACTTGTCTTGTAAATGAGAAAACTGAGTAAAAGAAAGGAGGCAACTTACGCAATCTCAGTATAAAAAATTAAATTTCTGGAGGGCTTGATATTTGCTGCCACTTCTTCAGAACTGGTTACCTCAAATGCACCTAGATTACATTTTGCTTGTTCTCAGCCCACTGGTGAGGACATTTTGGTAGTACTGTTGGAGGAAGGGTATACTATTTGTGCACTATCATAGTGCCAGACACTGAATCAGATCTTTACATATACTGTCACCACACAGAGCCAAAGCTTTTACCCAATTATAAAAATATATATGATGGAAGGTACAAAGAAATAGAAAATACAATATCAAAAAACATTTTATAGCAAATGAAGAAGTGTATTTCATATGGCTGTTTCTTGTAATAACCATATGATAAAAATTGAGGACATTATTTTAAAATGCAACTAAGTGAAGAAGATTCAACATTTGGCTAAGATGTATTTCTCAGTATATGCTTTGGTAAATTAAAGAAGTAGGTTGTGGAGATGGTACTCTCATAGAGGTAGGCTACACTCTTGAATCCACTCTAGATTTATGATAATTTATGATTTTTATTTTACCACTGAACCTCATACATACTCCCAGTAGAGAATTTTCAAAGCAGGTTTTACACAGTAAACACTGATAATGGCCACAGAGAAGGAAACCTCAGTTTGGTAGTTTCCTATTGCATCAATTTAGCTAAGCTGGAAGGAACTATGTGTTTTAGAATTCTTTTGTCTATATGGTTCTAGTTTAGGGTTGGCCACTACGTAAATTTGTGTCAGTTTTGGAGAATACAAGTAAAGCAGCAGCTCTTTTGCTCCGAAGGTCAGGGCAGGGTGTCAGTCACTGCTGCAGCTGATACACATTGTTTTACTTTTCTGTTGGCTTGCCTTACTGGTGTGAGTCAGCAGCCAGGTCTACAACTCCTTCAGCTCCAATCGGATCTCCTCCTTCAGCACCTGAGTATGGGACCATGAATCTGTGAATCTCCATGGAGAAGGGTACCAGCTTCTTGTTGAAGTTGGAGGAAATGCTCTGGTTTGTGCTCATGGGTTCTAGTTTGTCTTGTTCTTCCTCACTTCATGTCTAGATTTTCTTCCCAACCACTGGCTCTGCTGAGGCATCTTTGCCAGCTCCTCAACTGAATAAGATCTAGTCCTTTATTCCATGCCACTTAGAGATTCTAGTTCCCTGGTTGTACTTCAATGGATATACTCATTAATGCCCAAAAGAAGTGCATTCTGTTTTAGTCCTAGAAGGCTTCCTGATTTGCTCATCAGAAGATAAATTCCCTTACATGCAGAGTAACTAATTTTCTTTCTATATGGAGTTAAGAATAGCTAGTATGTGCTCAGCACAGTGGAAATAATTTTATATACAACGTGTGATTTAATTCTGAAAAAAAAAAAAAAAACAGGTAAGTAGTCTTATCCTCTTTTTACCTATGAGAAACTGAGGTTCAGAAATGTGCCTAGCTTTTTATAGCTGATTTAAGTATATAGCTGACCTATATAGCTATATATATTTAAATATATAGCTGACCTATAGCTGAATTTTAAAAAAGGCAATTCTCTTCTTAATGCTGAACTCTTATCTGGAGACTATCAGACACAAGAACCATTATGTCTTGGGACCACTCTAGATTTATGAAAATAAAAGAAACCATGGGAAGACAACTTATTCTCCTGTTTACTATGGCAGGAAAGTTTACACTAATTTACCTAAAATCAGTCACATATAAAGAACATGGGTTTGAAACATTGATCTATTTCTCAGCATTCCAAGTTGTTTTGGATTGAAGTCTATTAGGATCCTGTTCCTAAATTACCCTGGTATTTGTAGAAATGTTAAGAGACAGATTTAGCAGTATCATTTAGAACTGAGACTCTAGGTTGAGCTTATGCACTTTGGTCCATTGCCAATTGCTGTCAGAGTCAAAACTAGTGAAAAATCCATAATGGCTGCAAACAATTTAACATAGTTCTTAGAAAATTTATCTTTAAAAAACTAGAATCTAACAGTAATAAATTATTGTACCTTAATATCATTTATTAAGAGGAAACTTTGGATAATTTTAGTACATACAGCAAATCATTATACCCATAGTTTTGTGGAGGCTGAGAGTGCTGAAACCATCAAGGGAGTAATATTAATATATTGTGGGAGTTAAGTGAAGAAAATAATTTGGTACAGGTTATGACCTTCAATCAGAATAGGCTTTAAAGAATTCTAGGGGTAAGATAATTCTACCTACAGTTTTATTAAACTTGAGATGTCTGATTAAATGAGTTATGGTGGCAAGGTAATACGAGTAGGGTGATTATGGGAGCAAAAAAAAAGCCAATTGCCTACAAAATTTGAGGACATTTTCTGAGGCTATAAAGCTAGGAGACAAACGTCTACAACATAAAAGGGAATGGGGCTTCTTTACGCTCTCTGATCAAAGCAACTAAAGGCAGGTATGTCCCCAAATAGTTTTTAATTACTGAACTTACCAACCAAGCCAAGGGCCTGTTATTAGAATTTGTGTATTTTTTTTCCCTAAAGGCAAAAAGGAATTAAAAATAAGACTTAAATTTAATAAATTTATAATTCAATTCTTCTGCATCATGTTTTACATGGTGCATCACTAATTGAGCCAAATTTTGTGTTTTGCTTCCTGGCAGTCATTTTCTACCCAGGAAGTAGCAGACTGAGACCCACATTTGTTCAAATGTGAAGCTGAAAGGGCTGGCTTCAGTTTATCAGTAATCTGTTTTATACAGGGAGCAAAAATCTTTCTCAAGAGTGAGGGCATATTTGTGAATCTTTTTGTTTGTTTAGTTTTCAAATTTTAAAACTTAAAAATTGAGGAAATAAAAATTTCTAAACATTTAAACAATATTTTCAAAATTAATAAAACTGATGAATTTAATCAGTATCTTAGGAATTCCATTAAGTTACAAGTCTTGTACATCAAATCTCTTATAGGCTTCCAACACTTTAAAAGCAGCGCAGAACATAACAATGAAAGCAAAATTCCTTATTCCCACACTCAATCAATACAAAAATATTAGTACTGTGGTTTTGCTTCTTTTGTTTTAAAGTATTTCTGTATTGATATTTTGGAAATTTTAATAGTTAATTAAATTTCTTTAATAGTTATGTAACTATTCAGATATATTTCATTTTGGGTGAGTTTTGGCAGTTTGTATGTTTTGAGGAATTGGTCCATTTCATCTGAACTGATAAACTTACAGGCACAGAGTTGTATTTCTTTAGTATTCTTTTAATGTCTATGAGGGTTGTAGTGATATCGCCTATTTTATTCTTGATATTGGTCATTTGAGTCTTCTCTCCTTTTTCTCTTTATCAGTCTTGCTAGATGTTCGTCAATTTTTTAAATTAAAAAATCCCATAGCTTTTGGTTTGATTTTACCTATTGTTTCTGTTTTCAACTTCATTGAATTCCATTATCTTTATTAAATCTTCCTTCTGCTTTTTGTTTTGTTCTTTTTCTAATTTCTTGAGGTAGGGGCTGAGATTATTGCCATCTTTCTTCTTTTCTCATGTAAGCATTTAGGGCTATAAATTTCCTCTAAGCATATGCTTTTTATTTTCACTCAGCTTCATTTTCCTTTATACTTCCTTTTAACCTATGGATTATTTAGAAGTATGTTCTTTAATTTCCAAGTGGCTGGAGATTTACTTGTTATCTTTTTGTTACTGATGTCTAGTTTGATTTCATTATAATCAGAGAACATATTTTGTATTATTTCAAGTTCTTTTAAAGCTAAGGTTTGTTTTATGACTGAAGATAACTTCTATTCTGATGAGTATCTCATGCACATTTGAAAATAATGTGTATTCTGCTGTTGTTGGGTGTCAGTTAGAAACTGCTGGTGGACAGTCATTCAGTACTTCTGTACCCTTGCTGGTGTTTTGTTTAGTGGGTCTATGAATTATTGAGAGATGGATGTTGAAGACCCCAACCTTAATTGTAAATCTTTCAATCTGTCCTTCCAGTTCTGGGAGATTTTGCTTCTACTGTTTGAATCTCTGTTATTTGGTGCATACATGTTTAAGATTGTCATGTCTTCTTAGTGAATTGAACCTCTTTATGCCTGTTGTGGTGAAGGAAGAGAAGCATGACTTTTTTCACGGTTTCTGCCTTGAGAAGAGGCAGGTGTTGTTAAAATATTTCTGTCATGTTGGCTAAAGAGAGTCCGTTGGCTAAAGACTGTATTTTGTCGGTGCCTATTGATGTTTTCAGGTTGCAGGCTTTTATAACACCCAGGCCAGGTAATACAGGAGGCAAGTAAAAAAGCCTGGGAACTCACAGCACTTCCTTGGGTCTGGAGGTCTCTAGCCTGTCTGCCTTATTTTTTTGCACCTTTCAGAGTCTTCTGGTAGATGAGTTAATGTATTTTCTCCAGGTAATTTTTGGTTGTGAGTAGCAGGAAAAATAAAATAAAATGTGTGTACTCCATCTTATCTGGGACTGAAAGTTTGTATTTGTGAATCTTTAAATCTTCAAAGAGTAATTCTATTATTAAATCCTCTAGTCTGGCCAGTTCCATTATAAGTACACCAGTTTGCGGTGAATGAGAATATGGGGGGATAGGAGGAGTACCGATAGTTGATTTTTTTTTTAATAAAAAAACCAAACCTTCCTAAATATGAAAGCAAAAAGAACAAATTATATAAATAAGTGAGGAAGTACAAGTGAACTAATTTTTTGTGGACTAGCATTCACCAAAACTGTTTTATATTTATAACCAAGTAAAGCCAATATTGTTTTCTTCTTCTTTTAACCATATATCTGTATCTAGGTAGTGGGTTTCCACAGTTTTTGACTGTGGTTCCCTAAGACAGGCCAACAGATCCCTTGGGTCTATCTCTTTATCTCTACTTTTCAATGGAAAAAATAACTAGGTATACCAATAGACGATTACTCTGTAAGTACTGTTGGGTATGGATGATTCACAGTATCATTCTTGAAAAATTATAGGTAAATATGAATCACTACATATTAGAGGGTAAAGCAAGCAACCTAAAACAAACTAAAATTGATAGTGATGAAGTCTAATGATAACTTATAATGAAAATAAACAGCCACTGAAAACTATAGGTTACTTTTTAAAAAATCCCAATGATGTATCAATAGAGCATTCCTCCTGAAAACCACAGAAAACTGGATCATCTACACTTGTGCTTGTGCGATATGAACATGATTGCACTGTCAGGGCTGCATAGGTACCAGGCTGATATGGTTTGGCTGTGCCCCCACCCAAATCTCATCTTGAGTTGTAGTTCCCATAATTCCCACATACGGTGGGAGGGACCCAGTGGGAGGTAATTGAAGCATGGGGGCAGTTACCTCCATGATGTTCTTGTGATAGTGAGTTCTCATAAGATTTGATGGTTTTCTAAGGGGCTTTCCCCTCCCCTTCACTCTTGGCTGTCACCATGTGAAGAAAGACATATTTGCTTCCCCTTCTGCCATGCTTGTAAGTTTCCTGAGGCCTCCCTAGCCCTGTGGAACTGTGAGTCAATTAAATCTCTTTCCTTTATAATTACCGAGTCCTGGGTATGTCTTTATTAGCAGTGTGAGAATGAACTAATACAGTAAATTGGTACCAGTAGAGTGGGGTGCTGCTATAAGGATACCCAAAAATGCAGAACTGACTTTGGAACTGGGTAACAGGCAGAGGTTGGAACAGTTTAGAAGACTCGGAAGAAGACAGGAAAATGTGGGAAAGTTTGGAACTTCTTAGACACTTGTTGAATGGCTTTGACCAAAATGCTGATAGTGATATGTACAATGAAGTCCAGGCTGAGGTGGTCTCCGATGAAGATGAGAAACTTGTGGGGAACTGGAGCAAAGGTGACTCTTGCTGTGCTTTAGCAAAGAGACTGGTGGCATTTTTCCCCTGCCCTAGAGATCTGTGGAGCTTTGAACTTGAGAGAGATGATTTAGGGTATCTGGTGAAAAAAATTTCTCAGAGCAAAGTGTTCAAGAGGAAGCAGACCATAAAAATTTGGAAAAGTTACAGCCTGACAATGCAGTAGAAAAGAAAAACCCATTTTCTGGGGAGAAATTCAAGCCTGCTGCAGAAATTTGCATGAGTAACAAGGAGCCGAATGTTAATCACCAAAACAATGGGGAAAATGTCTCCAGGTGATGTCAGAGACCTTAATGGCAGCCCCTCATGTCACAAGCTGGGAGGCTTAGGAGGAAAAAATGGTTTTGTGGGCCAGGTCCAGGATCCCTCTGCTGTGTGCAGCCTAGGGACTTGGTGCCCTGCATCCCAGCCACTCCAGTCATGGCTAAAAGGGGCCAAGGTATAGGTTGGGCCATGGCTTCAGAGGGTGCAAGCCCCAAGCCTTGGTAGCTCCCATGTGGTGTTGAGCCTGCATGTGCACAGAAGTCAAGAATTGAGGCTTGGGAACCTCTGCCCATATTTCAGAGGATGTATGGAAATGCCTGGGTGTCTAGGCAGAAGTTTGCTGCAGGGGTGGAGCCCTCATTGAGAACCTCTGCTAGGGCAGTGCAGAAGGGAAATGTGGGTTCAGAGTCCCCACACAAAGTCTCCACTGGGGCACTGCCTAGTAGAGCTATGAGAAGAGGGCCACCATCCTACAGACCCCAGAATGGTAGATCTACCAACAGCTTGCACTGTGCTCCTGGAAAAGCTGCAGGCACTCAATGCCAGTTCATGAAAGCAGTTAGGAGGGGGGCTGTACCCTGCAAAGCCACAGGGGCAGAGTTGCCCAAGGCTGTGGGACCCCACCGCTTGCAACAGTGTGACCTAAATGTGAGACATGGAGTCAAAGGAGATCATTCTGGAGCTTTAAGATTTGACTGCCCTGCTGGATTTCAGACTTGCATGTGGCCTGTTGCCCCTTTGTTTTGGCCAATTTCTCCCATTTGGAATGGTTGTATTTACCTAATGCCTGTGCCCCCATTTTATCTAGGCAGTAACTAACTTGCTTTTGATTCTACAGGGTCTTAGGCAGAAGGGACTTGCCTTGTCTCAGGTAAGACTTTGGACTTGGACTTTTGAGTTAATGCTGGAATGAGTTAAGACTTTGGGGGACTGTTGGGAAGTTCTCTTTTGAAATGTGAGGACATGAAATTTGGGAGGGGCTAAGGGCGTAATGATATGGTTTGGCTGTGTTCCCACCCAAATCTCATCTTGAATTATAGTTCCCACAATCCCCATGTATTATGGGAGGGACCCGGTGGGAGGTAATTGAATCATGGCAGCAGTTACCTCCATGCTGTTCTCATGATTGTGATTTATCATGAGAGCTGATGGCTTTATAAGGGGCTTCCCCTCTCCCGCTTTGCTCTGCGGTTTTCCTTGCTGTCGCCATGTGAAGAAGGATGTGTTTGCTTCCTCTTCTGCCGTGATTGTAAGTTTCCTGAGGCCTCCCCAGTCCTGTGGAACTGTGAGTCAATTAAACCTCTTTCCTTTATAAATTACCCAGTCTTGAGTATGTCCTTATAGCAGTATAAGAATGAACTAAAACACAGGCATACTGAAAAAATACTAAATTAGAATATTCAATAAATTCTATGAATGTATTATTTTATGATTATTCAATTTGTAACCTTTTAAACTCATTTAGTAGGTTACTAGTAAGCAATATCTAGTCACAAGTGAAAATGGAAGTTTGTGATGTGTTATTTGCCCATAAGAATCAAAGAAAGTACTGTCACTTCTGGGTCAGACCTCAGTCATCAGAGCCCTTTGCCAAGGATGGCCCATACTTTGGGAATCACTGCTGTAGGGAAGCAGCCCACTGGGAAATACTTTTCATAGTACAGACTGTTCCCATGTAGGGGTTTGCAAATGCTACTATGAAACATTTTAGAAATAATAAAGTCATCCATAGGAATCAGAGAATATACAAATGAATATGATAATATTTAGTGTACTGTTGTACTCTAACATGTCTAAATGTACCTTGATTGGGAGAAACATCATGTCATTCTGTAATACAGCTGTCTTCTGGGTGAATAAAGTCAAAACGGAGAGAAATTGGTTGTTATAAACAAGTGACGGCTTAGAGGTGGCTTCTTTGCCACTAAAATAACTGATCTCTTCTTTGAATTACTTTTATCCTGAAAGAATGCAGCTAAGTCAGGCAGCCGTTAGACAAACCAACCTTTATAACTGCAGGTAAATTTAATTATGAATGTTTATATGTTAGTAATATCACAGTTTTTCCATTATTGTGATAATAATAGCTCTGTCTTCCCTAATAGATGATAAAATCCTTATGAGCAGATATGGCTTTAGTCACACAAAGGTGTGAATTTTGGAGTCAGGATGCTTGGACTCATTTCTAAACTCTGCTATTTTCTAGCTCTTTAAGGTAAATTCTGTGTTCCAGTTCCTTTCAGTTCTGCAGAATAGAAATAATGATATCAACCTCATAGGATCATTTTGAAGATTCCAAGAGATACTGTATTTAAGTGCTTAGCATTGGAGCTTAGTAAGTAATCAGTAAATGCTAGCTATTAGTAATATTAGCAGTGGAAATATTATAGGGATACCTCCTGTTACTGTGCTTCAATTTATTCTTTGAAGATTGCAATTTTTACAAATGGAAGGTTCTGGCAATCTTGTGCTGAATGAGTCTATTGGTACCATTTTTCCGATAGCATGTGCTCATTTCGTGTCTCTGTATCATATTTTGGTAATTCTCACAATATTTAAAACTTTTTCTTTATTATTATATCTGTTATGGTGATCTGTGATCAGTGATCATTGATGTTACTACTGTAATTATTTTGGGGTGCCATGAACAACAGTACACTAAATAACACATTTGCAATATAGATGAAACAGCCTTATAGTGGAAGATGATGCCATCTAGGACTTTCATAGCTAGAGAGGAGAAGTCAATGCCTGGCTTCAAAGCTTCAAAAGACAGGCTGACACAGAAGAAAACAGAAGAAAGTTTAAGTGGTCTGGATAGAAGATCAAAACCAGCCACAACATTCCCTTACACCAAAGCCTAATCCAGGGCAAGGCCCTAACTCTCTTCAATTCTATGAAGGCTGAGAGAGGTAAGGAAGCTGCAGAAGCAAAGTTGGAAGCTAGCAGAGGTTGGTTTATGAGGATTAAAGAAAGAAGCCATGTAAGACAACAGACTTAATAAATGTTGTGTCTGTTTTTACTGTTCTCCCAATGGGCTGTTCTCCGATCTCTTTTCCTCTCCTCAGGCTTCTCTATTCCCTGAGAAACAACAGTATTAAAATTAGGCCAATTAATTAACCCTACGATGGCCTCTAAGTGTTCAAGTGAAAGGAAGAGTCACACGTCTCTCACTTTAAATCAAAGCTAGAAATGATTAAGCTTAGTGAGGAAGGCATGTCAAAAGCCAAGATATACTGAAAGCAAGGCCTCCAATATAAAAATGATAGGAAAACGAAACAGCCTTATTGCTGATAGGGAGAAAGTTTGAGTGGTCTGGATAGAAGATCAAACCAGCCATAACATTCCCTTAAACCAAAGCCTAATCCAGAGCAAGGCCCTAACTCTCTTCAATTCTATGAAGGATCAGAGAGGTAAGGAAGCTACAGAAGAAAAGCTGGAAGCTAGCAGAGGCTGGTTTATGAGGTTTAAGGAAAGAAGGCATCTCCATAACAAAAAAAGTGCAAGGTGAAGTAACAAGTGCTGATGGAGAAGCTGCAGCAAGTTATCCGGAAGATCTAGCTAAGATCATTGATGAAGGTGGCTACACTAAACAATAGAATTTTCAATACAGATGAAATGCCTTGCAGTGGAAGAAGATGCCATCTAGGACTTTCATAGCTTGAGAGAAGTCAATGCCTAGCTTCAAACCATAAAACAGGCTGACTCTCTTGTTAGGGGCTGATGGAGCTGATGACTTTAACTTGAAGCCAATGCTCATTTACCATTCTGAAAATCCTAGGGCCCTTGAGAACGATGCTAAATTAACTCTGCCTGTACTTTATAAATGAAACAACAAAGCCTGGAAAACAGCACATCTATTTATAGCATGGTTTTCTGAATATTTTAAGCCCATCATTGGGACCTACTGCTCAGAAAGAAAAGATTCCTTTCAAAATTACTGCTCATTGACAATGTACCTGGTCAACCAAGAGCTCTGTTGGAGATGTACAAGGTTAATGTTGTTTTCATGTTTGCTAATATATCAGCCATTCAGCTGCCCATGGATCAAGGAGTAATTTCAAATTTCAAGTCTTATTATTTAAGAAATACATTTTGTAAGGCTATAGCTGCCATAGATAGTGATTCCTCTGATGGATCTGGGCAAAGTAAATTGAAAACCTTGTCGAAAGAATTCACTATTCTAGATGCCATTAAGAACATTTGTGATTCACAGGAGGAGGTCAAAATATCAAGATTAACAAGAATTTAGAAGAAATTGAATCCAACCCTCCTGGATGACTTTGAGGGGTTCTAAACTTTAGTGGAGGAAGTCACTGCAAATGTTGTGGAAATAACAAGAGAACTAGAATTGGAAGTAGAGCCTGACCCCAATTTTGAATGAAGTTCTACTGTGGATATAATGCTGTTGAACAGCATCTCATGCTGCTAATAAATATTTTGTGAAAGGAAGAGTAAATTGATAGAGCAAACTTTGTCATTTTGTTTTAAGATATTGTCATAACCACCCCAACTTTCAGCTACCACCACCCTGATTAGTCAGCAGACATCAACATTGAGGTAAAACCCTCCACCAGCAAAAATAATAATAATAATAATAATAACTTGCTGAAGGCTCACATAATCATTAGCATATTTTAGCAATATTTCCTAATTAAGTTATGTACATTGTTTTTTAGACATAATGCTATTGTGCACTTAGCAGACTACAGTATAGTATAAACATAACTATTATATGCACAGGGAACCTAAAAAATCTTGTGTGACTTGCTTTATTGTAATATTCACTTTATTGTGGTTGTCTGGAACTGAACATGCATTATCTCTGAGATATGCCTGTATTAGTCTTTGTATATACCACTGCACTTAGACTGGGCTTTACACGTGGTTGCCACTATACAACTGTTGTTAGGTTTCTGTTAAATTATGCTATTTTTTGAGGGGCAATATAGTATGCTAAGAGCCAGAGTGCAAATGTTCAAATCCTAGCTCTACCACATAACTACCTAATTAATCCATGTGCCTCAGCTTTCTAGTCTGTAAAATGAGGATAACACCAGCAACTGAGCTTCCTCACAGCATTATGAGATTTAAATAAGATAGTATTTGTAAAGTAATCAGAATAGCATTTTCATAATGTTTATTTACTTGCTAAATTAAAAAAAAATAAAAATGTTTTTTAACAGTTCTACCCCTCTTCCCTCCATCAAAAAAAGCCACAAAACCTCACAAATTGGCCAGAGTGGCTGAAAGTACTTATGAGACATAAAACAATTGAATGTTTGCAGTTATATCCTAAAAAAACAAAGACAGGCCACCTAAATGTTTGAATGTCATGAAAGGAATTATCCAGATTTTTGAACACCTACTAAAAGTCTGTTTTTAATCATCCAAAATTACATCAGTATTCAGTTTATGAAAGTATACCTACATACTGCTTGAATCTATAATCCAATTTTACTTGTTCTGGCATCTCAGCATGTAGACTTAAAATAAATGACTATTATTATTATCACTATTATTTTTGGAGACAGTGTCTCACTCTGTCACCCAGGCTGGGGTGCAGTGGTGCAAACATGGCTCACTGTAGCCTAGACCTTCCAGGGTCCAGTGATTCTCCTGCCTTAGCCCCGCAAGTAGCTGGGACTATAGGTGCATGCTACCACATCCAGCTAATTTTTGTATTTTTTGTAGAGATGGGGTTTTGACATGTTGTCCAGGTTGGTCTCAAACTCCTGAGCTGAGGCAATCCACCCGCCTTGGCCTCCCAAAGTGCTGGGATTACAGGCATGAGCCACCGTGCTCGGCCTAAGTAATTATTTTGTATATGAATTTAGTTCAGCAGCTTTAATGTGAGAGCAAGTTGTCATATGCACATCATATTGGGGAAAAATAAGTCCTACAAGATTTAAAGATGAGATTCAGAATAATTCAGTTATTCTTTAAAGACTTTTCTTACCACATCTGAATTTTACACACACACACACACACACACACACACACACACACACACACACACCACACAAAAACTTCTGTCTGCCTTGTCTTCATGTACTCTCAGGTTAGATGAGGGCTTTGGCAGCTAACAGCTTCCACATTTTCAGACAGAATCAGTAAGTAGGTAAAATAAAGTTATGCTCTTTTGAAAAATGTCATAACATGCTTGGCTGATGGGCATATTGGAACCTTTGTAATGAGATGGCAGGGAAAGGAAGCAAGCAAGAACTAGCTGGAACTGAAGTTTTCAGCTGGAGTGAAGGAGGTAGGGTAGGGGATGTAAGGCAGCTAATCCTCTTGCATTGTTCGCCCCTGTGGGGTTGACCTAGGAGATGGAGGGGGCTATGTTTGCAGGTTGAAGACACTGAGAAAGCCACTGAAGTTCCTGTCAAATTTACTCACTCACTCATTAATTCACTTACTCATGACATTTTTATTGAGAGCTTATAAGGTACTACATTTGTACTAGGTGCTGAAATACAGTACTGAACAAAATGGAGAAATTGTCCCTGCTTATCATCATGAACATAGGCATACCTGTCCTACCATGTACAGGAGAGAAAGACACTAGGCAGATGTTCACATAAATATATAATTAAAAATCCCAACAAAGGTTTTGAAGAAAAACTACTGGATGATAAGAGAAAATAGGAGAACTGATTTAGTTCAGAGGGTAGTGGTCAGGGAAGATGTCCTTGTGATTTCAGGTTTAGATAGGCAGGAATTCTTGGGAGAAAAAAGAGATAAAAGCATTCTCAGCAGCGGGAATAGCATGTTGAAAAGGAAAGTGGTGGCAAAGAGCTGGTCAATGACTAGGGTAGCTACAGCACAGTGAATAATTTCCTTTTAAATAAGTTTAAGAAAAATATATATGAACTAGAATATCAGATATATGGAATTAATAAAAATGTATTTTATAATCCCATACACTTCTAAGTCTTCATTATAGGATAATGAGTTGAACCCTGAAGCCAAACAATATTTGTCTTGCTTTGTGTATTTTTATTGGGACGTTTTCCACAACAGAACAGTGAAGACTATACTCTAGGTGTGCTTATAAGGAACACTATATGCATGCATGCACACACCCCTTTACTTTGCCGTTTAAGGGGATTTAATGATGATATTATCTTGCTATTAAATTCATACTAAATTTTCTCTAACTTTTAACTTAAAATCTTTAGATTACATAGAGCTAGTATTACGGCAGAGATAGAAGCCTATGAAATGCAATACTCAATCTTCATAGTCCTCTTCCACTTAAGTCCTATTCCATTAAACATGGCCATGTTATCCAAAGGAGTAATTGGCAAAAATGAAGATTAGTGGTTCATCATGAAAGCGATTAGATTACAGATTGATACTGACATTGTGTTTTCAGGAAAATTTAACATAAGAAAAAAGCCTTTCATTTTTAAATAAGCATGTATAAACAGGTAAAAATAAAACAGAAATTCCTGTGAAATATAAAAAGCTATTATTTAAGCGTATGTTGTTTTGTCTCCAAGGTCCAAGCATTGTTAACTATAATATTCTGTTGTCCCAGCAATAGATCAAGCTAAATAACTATTTGTGTTTTATAACAGCGGCAGCTCAGTATGTTTCCCCTAACTTAACAAATAGTAACATGAAGCAAAAAAGAAATCAATCCAGGCACTGAAAACATTATTAACATCATCATACAAGGCCACATGTTTTTTCAAGTCAAGCCTTTCAAATGCACTCATTTATTCATTAAAGCACAAATTCCTCTGTATATGGAATGTGTACCATGCACAAAGCAACAGGATAGAGTGCGGAAAGACCCCTGGAGTAGGTGATTTGGTTCTAGTCCTGACAACAGTACTTGTATTTTTTTTTGCAAAACAGCTTTTGTAAATCATTTCTGAGTTTGAGTTTTGTTATTTGCAAATAGGGTTGCTGTGAAGTTCAAAAGACATATCAAATGTGGAAACTTCCTTGCTAACTGTGAAAGCACTAAATAAGGGCAAGGTGAGATCCTCAAGGGAACTCAAGAGCCTAGTAAAAACCCCACCAATTAGAGTTCTCTCTTTTACAACATTGGTTATAGATATCCAATACGCACTTGGGGGTTAGCGATTATTTTGCTTCTTCTAAACCTGAGAACAGAGTTAGGAAATACCCAGCCTTCTACTCTGGAATTGGTGTATCAGCATTATAGGGGAAGATCTCCCCCAAAGTTAACAATATTCCTTACTCTGTGCTGGTCCTCTGTCAAAAATTAGTTGAGATAGATGTCAACTATCTGGGAAATACCATGTTACAGATTCAAGACATATAATAAAAACAGGAGGCAAAAGTGGACTCTGATTTCTTTCTTAGAATAAATTTCTAGAAGTGAAGTTAGTAGATCAGATTCTTGATATACATAACTAAACAATGTCCTTCAGAAAGGTGGTAACAATTTATACTCCTCAAAAATATTCGCAATATTCCTGATTACCAATTTGGCTCACCTTTTACTGTCTTCCCTAATTTAATACTTCATAATTCACAAGACTTAACTACTTTCCTTCCGCACACAGTATAACATCTGTCAGGATATGCATGACAGAATGGAGCAGGCTGAGTATTTAAATGTGCCTTCAATGACTCACTACTCTCAGGATAAATCCAAACTTTTAATAATTTGTACACTCTGAGTCAAAGTGATGGTCTCTTCTTCCTTCTCTAGGTTCATCTCTCACTACCAACTACCCTCTCGAATAGGCCATCTGTCCCTCATCTTCAAACTTTTGTTCAGGGTATTACTTATGACTGGAACACCAGATTCTAGAGGAAGCTCAGTGCTCATACAGCTCTTCTGAATAGTGGTAATAACAAAAGTGGTCCCCTTTCAAACGACTAAGAGTACTGATTTCAGGCTGACTCTGAATGTCTGTGGAAAAAATAATAATTCAATCGATCAGTCATTTAACGGAGCAGATTCTGATACAGGCACTAGTGTCTTAGAGACTTCTGAGAGTATGTAACTGGGGAGAAGGGAGGGTAAAGAATGAGGCACCTAGGAGTGCTAATAACACTATAGTCCAAAAAAAAAAACATTTTTCTACACTCTAGTTTTATGGAAGAGCTATAGAATAAGTAGATGATTTAAGAGATTTGCTCAGAGAAACAACTCAATTGTAAGTTATTAAATCTTTCACATTTTGAATGCCTAGATGCTATACCTTCTACAGCAGGGGCAGATTAAAATTTTTTTGATATTTTAAGCATTAAGCACAATCATTCAAATTACTTAAAAACTTGCAGTCCATGTTTTTCAAGGGCTCCTAATAAGAAGCTATAGTTCCAGTGACACAACAAACTCCTTTTAACCAAAATGGTTTAACATGCATAATTTTGTGGATTAAATGTTCTTGCTAACATGATTCTCAGCTTCCACACGGCCATTATCCTAGTTTCTCATCATCCATATGGCCTGGACTTAATAGCCCTGCTTCTGATCTCTCAAATGACGCTCTGCACTAGAGAGATCCAATAGGCCGATTTGATCACGCAAGTTCCCAGTTCAAAATTATTCAATAGCTCTTTATTACTGCAGGAAAGAAACTAAGTACTTTATCATACAGTTCCTCATCTAACCTTTACCTATGACTCCAGGCCCATCTACTGTCCTTTCCTCATGCCATTTCCTCCAATTGTTAATAAACCAGCAATCATAAGCCACACAAAATCCTTGGAACATGCCACATTCTCACACATTTGTGGCGCACCTGCATATGCCTTCGCACTAAAATACTGCTTCTCATATTTTATTCTCCATTCAAATGCTCCCCACTCTGAAGCCTTTTCTCACTTCCCCTAAAGACTAAGGCTCTATTTCTCCTATGTTCCTCTTATACTTTCTGCACCCACCCATCACAACAGTTAAGTTATACTGGGACTCTCAGCATGTCTTTCTCCCCATAAAATGGTGTCTCACGTCTTCCCATTTTACCTCTAGCCCTACTCTCCATGTCTAGAAAATAATAGATGGTCATTTTTAAATGGAATCATGACTATATTAAAATTATATCTTTAATGTTGAATTTTATAGCTATCTGTGCATTGCATAGTATCACACTGATGATTAATCAGCTATTTATTATTGTTCTCCATCAATTTTGTGCATATTAAGTTATCCCATTAAAATCCAACTTGCTACAACTATGAACTCATTGAACACATAAACTTAAGAAAAAAATCAATTACCCATCATTTTTTAAGGGCATAAACTTTAAAGTTAGGCTCTTTTGTGAAAATCTAGTAAAAGGATAAAAATAACCTAGACTTTACCCAAAAGAGTCACTTGCCAGTCTTCCAATAAAAGCTGTATTGAAGAGTCTTTGAAATTTTACTTACATGGTATAGTGTGGTCTCTGGCACAGGAGTGCCCATGATGTCTTGTCTCAGTGCATCCATTTGTAAACTAGGTAGCAATGAATAGTGAGTTGGGCTATTACTCTTATCACCCTTCTTTTTTGACTTCTTCCCTGTGTCCTTTTTGCTGTTTCTCTGAAACATGTATTCTTCTTGAGCAATCTTTTCATTGCTCATATACCGAAGTAGAGAGTTTTCTATATAAAAAGAGATAAATACACCAATATAAATACACAAATACCCCAAATTTACCATTCTTTCTCAATTGTGCTATTAGGTTGGCGCAAAAGTAATTGCAGTTTTTCCCATTACTTTTAATTGCAAGAACCGCAATTACTTTTGCCCCAATCTAATATATTTCATTTCAGAACTTTAACTTGATTTAACTTATAAAATATGTAGTGAAATACAGTATATCTTAATTATTTGGTATGATAAGACAATAAAAAATAGACAGTCGATAGATTATTTCTCCAAGTTTTAGCTTTGGACCAACTACATTAGAATCACCTCTGGAACTTGAATCAGAAATTCTAGGTGTGTGGCTTATAAAATTTGTAACAATCACCCTCATGGGGATTTTGCCAAAGCCCAATAACAAACACCGGCCCGTGGCATGCAAGGTAGCATGCTTGGAGAAGTTAAGGCCCACATTAAGAACCAATAGTCAGGAAATTTAGTTCAGGAATTCTATGCTTAAATTGGTAGTCAGCTCTTAGTACTTCACATGGTTCCCCTCCCCATCAACAAAAGTCTCTAAAATATGAAGTCCCAAAACAGTGACTCTGAGATAGCATGTGATAAGCATTTCTCTTTTATACTTTTCTTGATTTATTCTATAGAACAAATGAGATTAGAAATTGAAGATTGGAAAATGGAATGAATACACAGATATAAAGGAATCTGTCAATGTTCCTGTATTTATCAACATTTTCAGAAATGCTCACTCCATAAAACAAGTATTAAGAAGACTAATGAATCAGATATTCATGCTTGCTTGTCCATATGGTCTGCGGATCTGTGCAGTAATAAAATAAATTCTGTATACTGGCTAGAAATAACAAGAAAACGGGTCAAACATATCATGAAGGAAGCTTAGTGAACTTACATTCTATGAATAGTTTTTTGTTTTGATTTGTTTTATTTTCCACCTACGACCTTACGGCTCTCTACTTCAGAAAGTCAAAGTAGCAGCATGACCCACTGGGCCCACCATACCCACACTTGATCAAATCCTATTTAGTAGGGAAACTTTCAGTTGCTCTCTATTGCTCATCTCTATAGCAGGATAAGTGAACATAAAAACTTACTTTTGGTAGATCCTTCAAGAGTAGCCCACCCCCATGTAAGAAGATAACTCTGAGCAGCAAACAGAACAGGAAAAAAAAGCACGGTTTTTTTTTTTTCTATTTCTACATGGTTTTTGTTAGAAGTCACTGGCCCAGTTTCCATTAGCTTTTAACCCATGTGCTTCAATGCTCATTTTGAGGTTGATTCCATACAAAACTGGTGAGGTTGCATTGCAGACCGATGAGGACTGATGATAAACTCTTCCTATTCACTGAACTTAATTATTTTATGCAGTTTCACACTCCTGACCTTGTGTTCCAAATATTACCTTTCAAATAATAATCAGATATTTACTTTTAACACCATACTTATGTACCTGGAACCCCTTAGAAGGCATTCAGAGACAATATCTGTTTAATAATGGGTCAAGATAGTCAAATGTTGGTCTTACTTGGTTTTGTTGTACAATAAAGTCAATGATAGAATAAGTTTTCCACTGAAGCCATAACAATCTATTTACAGAACATTTAAATTTGCTTATTGTTCAAACAACCCAGCCTACACTGAAATTCTAGAACACTTACCTCTTCTACTATCTCTCTTCATCTTATTTGGATCTTCATAGTCCCCCACCCAATTATATTCCACTGGCATAGATATAGGTCGTAGCTTGCCTAAACACAGAGAACAAAGTTCACATCACATTGTTTTTCTTCCCCATGTCTGCTCAAACTTACACTGATTTTTAGCTAAAGTCTACCAAACACACTCACTCTTATGCAACATTATGGTTGGCATTTGTGTAGATGGAGAAAATGTGTTTTGAGCCAGAAGGTGAAATTGCCTATTGGCCAGGTGATAAAGCAAACTTAAGGTACTTTTTATAAATAATAATGAATAGCCTAGGTTAGCTCTCTTAGGAACCCCAGACTTTAAGGGTATAGTTTTTTTTTTTTTTTTTTAAAGAAGATAATCATATAAGTGATTTTACTCAGTAACTGGATCTCTATCTTATTTCCTAACATCCAAGTGTCTATATCTTGACAGCCAACCTCCAAAATGGTAGCTCTCTGTGTTTAACCTGACTACCAGACATTAACCCACTGTTTCAAGTTGGAACACCACAAGGATAACTTTTTATCTTCGCTGCTTCCCATCTCCTATCACCATACATTTTGGACACCACCATGCCTCAAAAATATGGTTAGATTCTCTTTCATGTCCTACAGCTGAGTCTGCTTCTAAGCATCTCTTTTGCTACAGTGAGCCTGTCCAGTATAGAGATCCAAGTAATCACTGCTTTGGTTTGCTCCATTTCCCCCTGGGTCTGTATCCTTACTAAACAGCATTTTAATTCAGCAAGGAGAACTCATGGCAAAGACTTCAAGAATAACTTTTATTTTGGTGAGGCTGCAGTATATTATTTCTGTTCCACTTGAAATTCCTGAAGCCTAAAACAGCCAAATAAAATAATTCAGAAGTTTTAACAGGATACCTAGCAAAATGCCTGGCATGAAATAGTCGCTTAATAAATTTCTAGTGAATGAAAAGCGGAGACTCACACAGGACTGGATCATACAAATAATAATGGTTATTATGATTCTGATAATATTATAAACATTTATATGTCATTTGCCATATACCACATACTAAGAGTTTCATAAGTATTAAATTGTTTACTCCTGATAATTCAGAGAACTATACTATCATTATCCTCATTTTAACTGATGAGGAAACTAAGGTTATATAACTTGCCCAAGGACATATACCTGGTAAGTACATAGTATCAGGATTCAAACCCAGGCACTCACACTTCTGTCATAATTCTTGGTGACTTCAATATTCACCCTCTGAGAGTCTGGCCTTTCAGTTTCTTGAGGTTCTCTCTCACACTCATTCCTGTCGTCATATGCTTAGTCTCATCAGCAAAGACTGCAATCCCTTTAAATATCCAGCTTACGAACTACCACCTTTTGTATTTCTAGCACACTACCTACAGTACTCCAACAATTCTTCCTCCTTTAATCTATTAATACCTGTCATACCACTTTTCAGTATCTGTCAGTCACCTTCTGTCCCTGCAGCTTCCCTCCTTGCCCAGCTAAATTTTATGATTATTAAAATCACTCAATGTGCTTTAAAAAATTCTGTCAGGAGAATTCTAATTCTGTTCTTAAGGAAAAAGTATCAATCTTATGGCTTTTTATTGTGAACACTGATACAGTTTAGTCTGTTTTGCTAAGCTCTTTTAAAATCTGAAGATTAACTAGACATGATAAAATTATTAATGAGCCAAAAATGTAATATTTATTTAATGGCTTCCTTTCAAGGTATGCAAACAACTTTGTAAATGATCACCTAATATTCCAAATTCTCCAACAGTATATCTCTGCTCTTTTACACAGAGGGAATTTGAGTGAGATGATCTGAGGCAGGATAGGTAGTCAAGGAAGTAAACATGTCCTCACATGGCGACAATACAGTTAACACAATAAGCCCCAGCACTCACACTGTAGTCCAGCTCATTCAAACACAGCTATCTACAGTAAGGAATTTCCCCTGCAGGGAGCACATGCATTTTGATTACACCTGTCCTCAGACCGACCCTTTGTTCATTATAACAGTAAGCAACACACCCCTGGATAGAGATTTAAGATGCTAATGAGACATGCAATGTATGAACAAGTATGTACAGCTACTATGCATGTGCACCCAGAGGACAACCAAGAATATGCTTAATAGCAACACCTCTTCCCACTCCTTTATGAATAATTATGTAAGACTCTCATAAAGGGAGTCTCCCTAGTGCCAGTCTTGGTGGTCTCATCCTTAGGAGCAGCTCACCCTGAATCCTCTCTCAGGGTGTACTGTCTGTTCTGAACCTAACTTTCATAATATTCTTTGTCCTTTGCAATAAATTGCTCTATACTATATCTCCTTTGCTGTGTGTCTCTTGTTTAAATTCTTTTAAGCTAAGAAGAACCGAGGTCTCACAACAGCCATCTATAGATCCAGGTCAATATTCTGCCCATCGAAAGTAGGGTAAAGGTTTGAGGGAAGGTCTCCTTTTGTTATGTCTATTCCCACCACTTTGCACAGTCAGTCCTCCAGATTTTCAATGTTATGAAGGCTGTATTTTCAAAATATCTACAATTTATTTCTTTAGGATCTGGTTTTAGAAATAAACTCTACTTCAGCATGGGCACTGAAACTGAAGCAATTAACAGCTCTAGCACTGTTTTTACATGTCATCAAAAAATCTTTTGAAAAGTGAAAATCCAATAAATAAGCAGTTGTTTCACTTGCTCTATATGTTATATATATTAAAAAGCTAGTTAGATATTTTTTGAAAATTGGTTGTTTGGAGACAAACATATGTGCACAAAAACAAGAAGAAACATACTTCACACACAGAATATGAAATACATAATTGTATTCATTATATTTTGCGTCATCTCTGAAATTTTAATGGAGCTAAGTCATTGAAGCATGTAATTAAGCCCTTGATATGTCTGGTTGTATAATTAGCCATAGAAACAATTATGCAGAAGATTTTTAACACTGACTTTTCCGGGGGTGACTTTTTTTTTTTAACAGAATTATACTGTATATTACTAATACACAATTGAAGGAAAATATACTAAATTAGAAAAAAACCGAAAGAAAAAGCTTTACTGAAATTTACTTTTGGAGAACATCAAGGTTTTGCTTTTATTAGTTATAAAACCATAGATTCAGCAATGCAAATAAAAATAAGTATTTTAAAAAATAAAGTATATTATTGATTTAGGTAGAACAAATAATGTTGCTTATAAGTATTGATTTTTAATTGTGCTGAAATACTGAAGTCGACTTAATAAAGCAGTTAAACCAATAACATAAGGTAACATTCTTGTATAAATAGCAGTCCATGGCAGACTGAAAAATAGACCATGGCTTAAATTATTTCTAATTCCAAATATACAGATCATTGATTACAGCTTGAAAATATGTTTGCTACTGCATGTATACAGCAGCATTTTAATTTCACAGGACAGCAAAGTTCAAATGGAAAGATAAATCTATGATTCAATGTTTTAGTGCTGTTGGTAAAAAACCAAGTGAAACAAAACACCAAAGGCAAGAGTACTATAAGCATTATAGACTTAAATCAAATATATGCTATTATTAATACATGCAAAGTATTTTTATACTCATATGACTTTTTAAGGCTTTAATACAAATGGATTGGTTTAATAAAATTAAATACATCTGACCCATTCCTGTGTAAATGAACATAAATAAAACATAAATCTCTGAAAAGTAATCTGGAAAAGTTTAAGACATATCTTTACATAGTAGTACTTATATTGGTTTTTGAAGTTGTAAAGTTAAGATTACTAATTCATGATAAGAATAATAACAGCAAAGAATATAATCTAGAAAACGAGGATTAGGGCCCATTTAAATATTTTTGCTGACCACTTCTTAATTTTTTATTCCTTTAAGTATAAAGCATGCATTAATTGCAGAGTTCATTTGGCACCCTATCATAAGCCTTGTGATACCACTGTGCTAGTGCCTCATAGTATAACCATTATTTTATTTGGCTTTTAATATCTGTTGCACATCTAGAGTTTTTTAATTGGTGTCTCCATAGAGGCAGAAATTTTGTGCTGTATTTATTCCTGTATTCTAATAAATGTGGTAAAGGTAAAAGATAAATATTTTTATAGAGGCACACAGAAAAAAAGATAACTATTTTTTGGATTTTGTCTGAATTTTATTATGATATTGATGGCAAGTAGGTTTTTAAGAATTATGGACTATATTCAGCGCAATTAAGCAAATGTAACACAAAATACAATTTTAAGAATATAGACAATGATGAAGTGCTGTATAATGATATATCCTAATTACTGTATTTTAATACAAAATTGCTATGCTTTAATGCTAGTGTACAACATTGCTTGAAAATAAACTAATTTTTACCTCAGATAAGCATTTTAGGTGATATCACAAATGCTACAATCCCCTTTGGCAGAGTTAACTGCTCACTCTACTGGGCTCCCTAAGCTTTTTCCTAGTGCCTTTAGCATATATACAATACTTATTATACTGTATTGTGACATTAGGGAGATCTGAAATTACTGGGTTGCTCATTGGATCCTATTCCCTCCGACCTACTCAAGGGCATGCCTTGAGCAATCCTCCCTTCTTTCTCCTGCATCATCAACTTTTCTCTTTCTACTCAGTCATTCCCATTAGCATATAAACATGCTGTAATTTCTCCAATCGTTTTTTAAAAAGTAACTCTCCTCACCCCACAAACCTCTACCCAGCTACCACCTTATTTTTTGTTTCTCTTTACAGAAAACCTTGTAGAAAGCTTCTTTATATTTGTAGCCCCCAATTCTTCTCCTCCCCTCTTGAATCTTCCCCGATTAAGCTCTTGTCCCCACTATTCCACCAAAACTGCTATTGTCAAGGTTTTTAGGGCCTCCATGTTGCTAAATCCAATACACAATTCTCAGAGTCCTTGACTTTTCTGATGTATCTGTAGCATTAGCACCGAGTACTACTCCTTCCTTGAAACACTTTCCTTACCCGGCACCCTAAGACTCTGTCTTCTGATTTTCCTCTCTTCTTATCATAAATTCACATGCATCCTTCAGAGCTAAGCAAAAATGTCATTTCCTTAGGGATACAATCCTTGGCCTCTCATTCTAGGTCAGGATTCTCTGTGTTTGTCTCATTTCCTCTCAAAGTTCTTCTTTGTAGCATGACAATTATAGTCACGTAAGTATTTATTAATTTAGTTACTTGAATTCTGTCACCCTTCTAGACTGTAAACTTCATGGGAGAAGACAGACTTTTCTACTGTCTACTGTGGTATCTCCCACACTTAGCGCAGTACCTTAAACACAGTAACTGCTCAATATTTAACTCACTGCTTGTTAAGAAAGTAAATAGGGGACTTTCCTCAGACACTAGACCAAAAAGGATCCAAGCTGTATCATTAGTTTCTATTTTCGTAGTTTCTTTCCCTTTCCTTCCTTCTAATTTTCCATTTCCTTCTTTTCCTCCCTCTTCCTTCCTTCTAAGGCAAGTATGTTACCCTCACCAATACTCTTCATTTTTCTGACAAACTGAGCTTTACAGAACTGTTTGCCAATCAAGTCAGAACTAGTTCTGTCTCTTGATTTCTTATCTACATACATTCCCATGTTGTCTGTTGAAACACCACTGAATTGCTGCCTTTTTCATTTGTATCGCTTTTAAAAACTCTCTAAAAGCACGCTAAAGTCATTAAGTTTCAGGGTAATAAACAGCACCTGAGAAGCAATCTTCTCTTACAGTTGTCAAAGATTTAAAAAAATTTTCAAAGAAATTTCTCCATAAGTCTGACATGCCCTTTAATGTTCACAAAAAAGCTTTCTCTAGAGTCTCAGAAAAAGTATACACATATATACATCTGTTCTGAATATTTTAGCCAATATTTTGATGAAAATGAGTATAGTGAGTATAGTTAAGCTATATGCTTGCCACATACACCCATCAAAAACCCCACATACCAGACAGAAAAATTACTTTCAGATGGCTGACTGAATTTCTAGGAAAACATCCTGGGGTTATTTAAGGTAGAGAATCACACATTTAAAGAGGAAGTAAAACTGAATTAAATGGAAAGTCAGTAATTTTTAAAGGATAATGGTAACATATCTGGATCCAGTAAAATAAGAATGAACGATCTGATCTTTATAGGCATATTTTAAAAATTTCATTTCTGGATAAAAGAGGCTGAAGAAATTGGTTTGTAAACATTTCAATGTGAGGATTATTTAAGGATTACCTTTAATGACTTATAAATAATACAAATCAAATATAAACTTTGTATTGATTAATTTAAAATCTTTTCAGTTTCATTGACAGAGAACAAAACCAGTTAAAATCTCATTTCCAAAATAACCCCATAAAAAAAGTGGGCAAAGGACATGAACAGACACTTTTCAAAAGAAGACATACATGCTGCCAACAATCATATGGAAAAAAGCTCAACATCGCTAATCATTAGGGAAATGCAAATCAAAACCACAATGAGACATCATCTCACACCTGTCAGAATGGCTATTACCAAAAAGTAAAAAAAAAAAAAAAGAAAGACAGATGTTGGTGAGGTTGTGGAAAAAAAGAAAAAAGGAACTCTTATACACTGTTGGTGGAGTATAAATTGGTTCAGCCATTGTGGAAGACAGTGTGGCAATTCCTCAAAGACCTAAAGACAGAAATACTATTTGACCCAGCAATCCTATTACTGGGTATATACCCACAGGAATAGAAGTCATTCTATTATAAAGACATATGCATGTGTATGTTCATTGCAGCACTATTCACAATAGCAAAGACATGGAATCAACATAAATGTCCATCAATGATAGACTAGATAAAGAAAATGTGTCACATATAAACCATGGAATACTATGTGGTCATAAAAAAGAACAAGATCATGTTGTTTGCAGGGACCTGGATGGAGCTGGAGGCCATTATGCTCAGCAAACTAACACAGAAACAGAAAACCAAATACTGCATGTTCTCACTTACAAGTGGGAGCTAAATGATGAGAACACATGGATACACAGAGGGGAACAACATACACTGGAGCCTTTTGGAGGGTGGAAGGTGGGAGGAGGGAGAGGATCAAGAAAAACAACTAACGGGTACTAGTCTAAACACCTGAGGATAAAATAATCTGTACAACTAACCCCATGACACAGGTTTACCTATGTAACAATCCCACACTTGTACCCCTAAACTTAAAGTTAAAAAAATCATTTCCAAGAATAAGCTCCATTGTGGTTGTGTATTTTCCTACTGCTTTCTAAAAGTGATATATACTTTAAATGGGGAATAACATGAAAGAATTGCTAAAGGAGAAAATACTGAACTGCGTCAAAAAATTATGCGGCACTTCTAACACCTAATTCCAAGGCTAATTATATTTTGAACCAAATTACCTTTTGTAAGTATTCCACCACAAGAGGGAACAAGCTATACATACACATTGGAGTTTGGAAATCTGTTGAAATAGCTGAAATAGTTGAAATGTTGTCTCTGTTCATAGAGACAATTTCTCTACATTAGAGGGGTGTGGGAGGAATGAGAAAGGATTTAGATGATTTAAATACTGTTTAAGTGGCAAAAGAGTTCTGGGTACTCTGAAGGCTCTGGTTGGTATAAAATGAGCTAGGCTAAAATACTTGTCTCTTTGCTGTGCTCAGCATTGATATAAATGTGAACAAGAAAGATGACACAGGCATGTAAATATTATTGGTTAAAAGCATGCAGTTCTCAAGTTAAAGAACTGCAAATTAAAGCAGTCTAGTTTTAAAAATTTTAGTAAAGCAGTGTGTCTTGCAAATCCTATCAGCATATGGAAGACAGTCACTCTCATGAAAAGTAAAAAAAGATAATAAGGTAACTAGTTGAACATTCTTATTTGAAAATAAATGACATCTTGTAATAACTTTACAATTCCTTTCACCTATTTTTCTGAGACCATTACTTGTTAGTGAAGCCAGCAAGAAAGGTAGAGATGAAAAACTTCAGACAGACCAAAGTTTTTTTTTTTTTGTAATGGAAACATCACTTTTATTGACAATGTAGGACCCTAATGGACACATTCACAGAACAAAAATAAGACAATTAGAAGACAATGGAGTGTAAAAGTACAGCACACAGGTTAATACTCTTCACCCTCATCCTCTCCCTGATTTCACAGATAATCTGATTTCACAGATATTCAGTGAAAAAAAACTAAAGAAGTTTCAGGGTAATAAACACTTAGAGTCAGTCCATGAATACAGACTTTCAAGTTCCTATCCCAGACCTCTTTTCACTACATCAAATTGCCTCAGTGATGTATCATTCAAGACCATTACATTAGACAAAAATCCAATTAATTTTTCTTCAAAAATTTAATGGCATGTATGATTAGTTTTTTTTTGTTTGTTTAAGTGTCCTCACAGCCAGTTTGCAACTCTTGCAAAATACTAAGGCTATGTGAAGAACTAGTGGAGGATTACAGCATAAACTGTGGATGCAACTTTTTGTTTGTGGTCCAATACCTTAACAATGATGGCAAATAAATTGGTATGACATGATGTGTTGCTTATAAAACAATGCTAAGTTGTCATATGTACATTTTTAAATGGCTGTATACTGTTTTAATTATTTGCTCTAATGTCTCCAGTCATTATTCAGTGTGTAATTTTTACTTATCTCTTTTTGAACACTGAATATTACACCTGACATTTTCTATCCCCAAGGATCTATTTCTTCCATGACTTCTGGCAAATTGTTTTGCAGTGATAGTAGTAATTCCACAAGTGGCTTGAAGTATAGAACACCATGTAATGATCTTTCTAGATAGTTTTTCTTACTTTAGTTTGAACTTTCATCATAAATAAGATTTACTCTAGAAAGTAGTTTACATATGGCTTTTCTACAAGATAAGAATGAAGAATGAAGATGACATTCAATAATCCAACCGCTGGGCAGGCTTAAATATTGAGAACAGAGGTTGTTCTATATGCTTATCTGTAAGTCAGCTGTTTGGAACTTAAGACACAAAGAAATCGTATCATTGGTAGTTGGGTCTTTAAGAAGAGCTGCAAAAGTCTTTTACAATATTTTCCAAAATACATTCCATAAAACATTAGTTCCATTGGGAAGCTGGTAAGTATTATGTGACCAAAAAAGGGATTTAATATACAAACACATTTGGGAAACAGTAAATTAACCCAAATTCAACAAAACTTTCAAAGATGTAGTATGTGAATGTGAATTTATTAATCTCCAAGAGGGGCCTAAAATATGTAAAACTTCCCAATCTTATTTAACCATATAACCTCTTTCTTCCATAGGCTATCTTTCAGAACTAGTGATCTGAAGAACGTACTTAGGAAATCGCTGGATTACTTAAGTCATATTGTGATCTGAAAGCTAACATGAATAGCCCTATTTAAACTTTACCTAGCTACCATTTATTATAGTTTTTTTTTTTTTTCTCATGGGGGAAAATGTATTCGGATTTCGACTAGGGATAAACGTATTGTCTCCTGCTCCAGGGGATGTCATGATTAGATTATCTATTGTAGAACAGGCTAGGTAATCCCTGACGCTAACAACCTTAAATGAATACTTCTGTCCAGAGAATATACTAACTGTGAATAAATGTTGGTATATCTTTCCAGGGCAGTAACTTCCCAGGTTCTTTCAATTAAAAAAATATAAGGCAATCACCTCTGTGCCATACAAGGTCTCTGACTTTGATTTTCTAGTATCTGCTTCTGTATTCAATTTATTTGTAAATTGATTCTTAAGTTAGCCAGGGTTTCTCAGACATTTCAGGCCAGATCATTCTTGTTGGGTGCTGTCCTGAGCACTGCAGGATGTTTAGTAGCATCTTTGGTCTCTACCCATTAGATGCCAGTAGCAACTTTCCACCACAAATGTGACAACAAAATTGTCCCCGGAAATTACCAAATGTCCCCTGGGGGACAATACTGAACCCAGAGAATCACTGAGTGAGACTGTTTCTCTTCTTGGCTTTCCCATTCTGTTTATAAGGGAACACTATTTCATCTAGTTCATATCTTTTCGATTAATTCATCTGAAGAGGTTTTTTTCCCCCCTCATAGTTGCATCAGCTATGTTGATTTGGTTTGCTAATACTTCTATTTTATCTACATATGAATACCACCGAACTTTATTAAAAGTGATTTTTCTTTCTTTCTCTTAAATTATACTTTAAGTTTTGGGATACATGTGCAGAATGCACAGGTTTGTTACATAGGTATGCACGTGCCATGGTGGTTTGCTGCACCCATCAACCCATCATCTACATTAGGTATTTCTCCTAATGCTATCCTTCCCCTAGTCCCCCAACCCCCGAAAGGCCCCGGTGTGTGATGTTCCCCTCCCTGTGTCCATGTGTTTTCATTGTTCAACTCCCACTTATGAATGAGAACCTGCGGTGTTTGGTTTTCTGTTCCTGTGTTAGTTTGCTGAGAATGATGGTTTCCAGCTTTATCCATGTCCCTGCAAAGGACATAAACTCATTTTTTTTTTTTTTTGAGATGGAGTCTTGCTCTGTTGCCCAGGCTGGAGTGCAACGGTCTCGGCTCACTGCAATCTCCGCTTCCCAGGTTGAAGTGATTCTCCCGTCTCAGTCTCCCAAGCAACTGGGATTACAGGCACATCCTGCCACACCTGGCTAATTTTCTGTATTTTTAGTAGAGACAGGGTTCACCATGTTGCCCAGGCTGGTCTCCAACTCCTGAGCTCAAGCAATCCACCCGCCTCTGCCTCCCAAAGTACTGTGATTACAGGCGTGAGCCCCTGTGCCCGGCAAACTCATCCTTTTTTATGGTTGCATAGTATTCCATGATGTGTATGTGCCACATTTTCTTTATCCAGTCTATCATTGATGGGCATTTGGGTTGGTTCCAAGTCTTTGCTATTGGGCATAGTGCTGCAATAAACATACGTGTGCATGTGTCTTTATAAAAGAATGATTTATTATCCTTTGGGTATATACCCAGTAATGGGATTGCTGGGTCAAATGCTATTTCTGGTTCTAGATCCTTGAGGAATTGCCACACTGTCTTCCACAATGGTTGAACTAATTTACAGGCCCACCAACAGTGTCAAAGTGTTCCTATTTCTCCACATCCTCTCCAGCATCTGTTGTTTCCTGACTTTTTAATGATCGCCATTCTAACTGGCATGAGATGGTATCTCACTGTGGTTTTGATTTGTATTTCTCTAATGACCAGTGATGATGAGCTTTTTTTTCATATGTTTGTCGGCCACATAAATGTCTTCTTTTGAGAAGTGTCTGTTCATATCCTTTGCCCACTTTTTGATGGGGCTGTTTTCTTGTACATTTGTTTAATTAAGTTTCTTGTAGATTCTGGATATTAGCCCTTTGTCAGATGGATAGATTGCAAAAATTTTCTCCCATTCTGTAGGTTGACTGTTCACTCTGATGATAGTTTCTTTTCCTGTCAGAAGCTCTTTAGTTCAATTAGATCCCATTTGTCTATTTTGGCTTTTGTTGCCATTGCTTTTGGTGTTTTAGTCATGAAGCCTTTACCCATGCCTATGTCCTGAATGGTACTGCCTAGGTTTTCTTCTAGGGTTTTTATGGTTTTAGGTCTTACGTTTAAGTGTTTAATCCATCTTGAGTTAATTTTTCTATAAGGTGTAAGGAAGGGGTCCAGTTTCAGTTTTCTGCATATGGCTAGCCAGTTTTCACAGCACCATTTATTAAATAGGAAATCCTTTCCCCATTGCTTGTTTTTGTCAGGCTTGTCAAAGATCACATGGTTGTAGATGTGTGGCCTTATTTCTGAGGCCTCCCTCTATTCTGTTCCACTGGTCTATATATCTGTTTTGATACCAGTAAATGCTGTTTTGGTTACTGTAACCTTGTAGTATAGTTTGAAGTCAGGTAGTGTGATGCCTCCAGCTTTGTTCTTTTTGCTTAGGATTGTCCTGGGTATATGGGCTCTTTTTTGGTTCCGTATGACATCTAAAGTAGTTTTTTTCTAATTCTGTGAAGAAAGTCAATGGTAGCTTGATGGGGATAGCATTTAATCTATAAATTACTTTGGGCAGTATGGCCATTTTCATGATATTGATTCTTCTTATCCATGAGCATGGAATGTCTTTCCATTTGTTTGTGTCCTCTTTGATTTCCTTGAGCAGTGGTTTGTAGTTCTCCTTGAAGAGGTCCTTCACATCCCTTGTAAGTTGTATTCCTAGGTATTTTATTCTCTTAGTAGCAATTGTGAACGGGAGCCCACTCATGGTTTGGCTCTCTATTATGGGTGTATAGGAACGCTTGCGATTTTTGCACATTGATTTTGTATCCTGAGACTTTGCTGAAGTTGCTTCTCAGCTTAAGGCAATTTTGGACTGAGACGATGGGGTTTTCTAAATATACAATCATGTCATCTGCAAACAGGGACAAATTGACTTCTTCTCTTCCTATTTGAATACCCATTATTTCTTTCTCTTGCCTGATGGCCCTGGCCAGAACTTCCAATACTATGCTGAATAGGAGTGGTGAGAGAGGGCATCCTTGTCTTATGTCAGTTTTCAAAGGGAATGCTTCCAGCTTTTGCCCATTCAGTATGATATTGGCTGTGGGTTTGTCATAAATAGCTCTTATTATTTTGAGATACGTTCCATCAATACCTATTTTATTCAGAGTTTTTAGCATGAAGGGGTGCTGAATTTTACTGGAGGCCTTTTCTGCATCTATTGAGAAAATCATGAGGTTTTTGTCATTGGTTCTGTTTCTGTGATGGATTACGTTTATTGATTTGGGTATGTTGAACAAGCCTTGCATCCCAGGGATGAAGCCGACTTGATCGTGGTGGATAAGCTTTTAGATGTGCTGCTGGATTTGGTTTGCCAGTATTTTATTGAGGATTTTCACATAGATGTTCACCAGGGATACTGGCCTGAAATTTTCTTTTTTTGTTGTGTCTCTGCCAGGTTTTGGTATCAGGATGATGCTGGCCTCATGAAATGAGTTAGGGAGGAGTCCCTCTTTTTCTATTGTATGGGATACTTTCAGAAGGAATGGTACCAGCTCCTCTTTGTACCTCAGGTAGAATTCGGCTATGAATCCATCTGGTCCTGGGCTTTTTTTGGTTGATAGGCTATTAATTACTGCCTCAATTTCAGAACTTGTTATTGGTCTATTTAGGGAGTCAGCTTCTTCCTTGTTTAGTCTTGGGAGGGTGTCATGTCTCCAGGAATTTACCCATTTCTTCTAGATTTTCTAGTTTAATTGTGTAAATGTGTTGATAGTATTCTCTGATGGTAGTGTGTATTTCTGTGGGATCAGTGGTGATCTCTCCTTCATCATTTTTTATTGTGTCTATTTGATTCTTCTTTATTTTTTCCTTATTAGTCTGGCTAGTGGTTTATTTTGTTAATCTTTTCAAAAAACCACCTCTTGGATTCACTGATTCTTTGAAGGGTTTTTCATGTCTCTCCTTCAGTTCTGCTCTGATCTTAGTTATTTCTTGACTTCTGCTAGCTTTTGAATGTGTTTGCTCTTGCTTCACTAGTTCTTTTAATTGTCATGTTAGGGTGTCGATTTTAGATCTTTCCCATTTTCTCCTGTGGGCATTTAGTGCTATAAATTTCCCTCTACACACTGCTTTAAATGTGTCCCAGAGATTCTGGTACGTTGTGTGTTTGTTCTCATTGGTTTCAAAGAACTTATTTATTTCTGCCTTAATTTCATTATTTACCCAGTAGTCATTCAGGAGCAGGTTGTTCAGTTTCCATGTTGTTGTGCAGTTTTAGTGAGTTTCTTAATCCTGAGTTCTAATTTGATCGCACTGTGGTCTGAGAGACTGTTTGTTATAATTTCTGTTCTCTTGCATTTGCTGAGGAGTGTTTTACTTCCAATTATGTGGTCAGTTTTAGAATAAGTGTGATGTGGTGCTGAGAAGAAAGTATATTCTGTTGATTTGGGGTGGAGAGTTCTGTAGATGTCTATTAGGTCTGCTTGGTCCAGAGCTGAGTTCAAGTCCTAAATATCCTTGTTAATTTTCTGTCTCATTGATCTGTCTAATATTGACAGTGGGGTGTTAAAGTCTCCCATTATTATTGTGTGGGAGTCTAAGTCTCTTTGTAGGTCACTCAGGACTTGCTTTATGAATCTGGGTGCTCCTGTATTGGGTGCATATATATTTAGGATAGTTAGCTCTTCTTGTTGCATTGATCCCTTTACCATTGTGCAATGCCCTTGTCTTTTTTGATCTTTGTTGCTTTAAAGTCTGTTTTATCAGAGACTAGGATTGCAACTCCTGCTTTTTTTTTCTTGCTTTCCATTTGCTTGGTAAATATTCCTCCATCCCTTTATTTTGAACCCATGTGTGTCTTTGCATGTCAGATGGGTCTCCTGAGTATACTACACTGACGGGTCTTGACTCTTTATCCAATTTGCCAGTCTGTGTCTTTTAATTGGGGCATTTAGTCTGTTTACATTTAAGGTTAATATTGTTATGTGAGAATTTGATTCTGTCATTATGATGCTAGCTGGTTATTTTGCCCATTAGTTGATGCAGTTTCTTCATAGTGTTGATGGTCTTTACAATTTGTATATTATTGCAGTGGCTGGTGCCAGTTTTTCTTTTCCATATTTAGTGTTTCCTTCAGGAGCTCTTGTAAGGCAGGCCTGGTAGTGACAAAATCTCTCAGCATTTACTTGTCTGTAAAGGATTTTATTTCTCCTTAGCTTATGAATCTTAGTTTGGCTGAATATGAAATTCTGGGTTGAAAATTCTTTTCTTTAAGAATGTTGAATGTTGCCCCCCACTCTCTTCTGGCTTGTAGGGTTTCTGCAGATAGATCTGCTGTTAGTCTGATTGGCTTTCCTTTGTGGGTAACCCGACCTTTCTCTCTGGCTGCCCTTAACCTTTTTTTCCTTCATTTCAAACTTGGTAAATCTGATGATTATGTGTCCTGGCGTTGCTTTTCTTGAGGAGTATCTTTGTGGTTTTCTCCGTATTTCCTGAATTTGAATTTGGCCTGTCTTGCTAGGTTGGGTAAGTTCTCCTGGATAATATCCTGAAGAGTGTTTTCCAACTTGGTTCCATTCTCCCAGTCACTTTCAGGTACACCAAACAAGACCAAATGTGGGTTTGGTCTTTTCACATAGTCTCATATTTCTTGGAGCCTTTGTTCATTCTTTTTCATTCTTTTGTCTCTAATCTTGTCTTCACGCTTTATTTCATTAAGTTGATCTTCAATCTCTGATATCCTTTCTTCTGCTTGATAGATTCTGCTACTGATACTTGTGTATGCTTCACGAAGTTCTCATGTTGTGTTTTTCAGCTCCATCAGGTCATTTATGTTCTTTTCTAAATTGGTTATTCTAGTTAGCAATTCCTCTAACCTTTTTTCAAGGTTCTCAGCTTCCTTGCATTGGGTTAGAACATGCTCTTTTAGCTCAGGAGTTTGTTATTACCCATCTTCTGAAGCTTACTTCTGTCAACTTGTCAAACTCATTTTCCGTCCAGTTTTGTTCCCTTGCTGGTGAGGAGTTGTGATCCTCTGGAAGAAAAGAGGCATTCTGGTTTTTGGAATTTTCAGCCTTTTGTGCTGGTTTTTCTTCATCTTCGTGGATTTATCTATTTTGATCTTTGATGTTGGTGACCTTTGGATGAGGTTTTTGTGTGGATGTCCTTTTTGTTGATGTTGATGCTATTCCTTTCTGTTTGTTAGTTTTCCTTCTAACAGTCAGGTCCCTCTGGTGCAGGTCTGCTGGAGTTTGCTGGAGGTCCACTCCAGACCCTGTTTGCCTGGGTATCATCACCAGCAGAGGCTGCAGAACAGCAAAGATTGCTGCCTGTTCCTTCCTCTGGAAGCTTCATCCCAGAGGGGCACCTGCCAGATGCCAGCTGGAGCTCTCCTGTATGAGGTGTCTGTCAACCCCTGCTGGGAGGTGTCTCCCAATAAGGAGGCATGGGGGTCAGGGACCCACTTAAGGAGGCAGTCTGTCCCTTAGCTGAGCTCGAGCGCTGTGCTGGGAGATCTGCTGCTCTCTTCAGAGCTGGCAGACAGGAATGTTTAAGTCTGCCGAAGCTGCACCCACAGCCACCCCTTCCCCCACGTGCTCTGTCCCAGGGAGATGGGAGTTCTATCTATGAGCCCCTGACTGGGGCTGCTGCCTTTCTTTCAGAGATGCCCTGCCCAGAGAGGAAGAATCTAGAGGAAGAAACTAGAAGAATCTAGAGGAGAATCTAGGCAGTCTGGCTACCGTGGCTTTGCCGAGGTTGTGGTGGGCTCCGCCCAGTTCGAATTTCCCAGAGGCTTTGTTTACACTGTGAGGGGAAAACTGCCCACTAAAGCCTCAGTAATGGTGGACGCCCCTTCCCCCAGCAAGGTTGAGCATCCCAGGTCCACTTCAGACTGCCGTGCTGGCAGTGAGAATTTCAAGCCAGTGGATCTTAACTTGCTGGGCTCTGTCGGGGTGGGATCCACTGAGCTAGATCCCTTGGCTCCCTGGCTTCAGCCCCCTTTCCAGGGAGTGAATGGTTCTGTCTCGCTGGCATTCCAGGTGTCAATGGGGTAGGAAAAAACTCCTGCAGCTAGCTTGGTGTCTGCCCAAACAGTCGCCCAGTTTTGTGCTTGAAACCCAGGGCCCTGGTGGTGTAGGCACCTGAGGGAATCTCATAGTCTGTGGGTTGCGAAGACCATGGGAAAAGCGTAGTATCTGGGCCGGAATGCACCGTTCCTCATGGCATAGTCCCTCATGGCTTCCCTTGGCTAGGGGAGGGAGGTCCCCGACCCCTTGTGCTTCCAGGGTGAGGCGACGCCCCACCCTGCTTCTGCTCACCCTCCACGGGCTGTACCCACTGTCTAACCAGTCCCAGTGAGATGAGCCAGGTACCTCAGTTGGAAATGCAGAAATTACCCACCTTCTGCATTGATCCCTCTGGGAGCTGCAGACTGGAGCTGTTCCTATTTGGCCATCTTGCCAGCCACCGAAAGTTCTTTTTCTTAATCTTACTGTTTTATCCATTACCTAGTACCTTGAATTCTTTCAGAATAATCTTTTCTTCCTAGGTTTAATTTCTTTAAGGCTCTCCAACCATTTTATTTATTTTATATAATATACTATTCTTCCATTTTTTAAGCAACTAATCAAAAACTTTAAAAAGATGTGGGGGCTGAACTGTTTTCAGATTCCTGACGCTGAGAGATTATAACTGGGCCCTTCTAATCCAGCATGTGAGCTGATGATTTTTATACTGGAGCTTAAGAGGATTTGGATGAGGGCAGTTTGCAGTGTTATTAACTATTTGAAAGATCTTCCTTCTGCTTTGGTTTGCAAAATCAAACCAAAAGAAACCAAAAAGCTCTACTCATATTTAACTGCTATAATTTAAATGGCCAGCTATTGGCTTGGTAGAGTGACCAAACATGTGGAAAGACTTCTAGATACTTTGTCCTTTACTAACTAAGTCCTTCCACAGGAGACTTGAAAAATCTTTGGGACATTTTTATTTATGAGCAGCAAGCATTTATTATACCATCTAAGGCATCATTTCTTGAGTACTTTCTATGAGGCAAGAACTCTGCTAATTAGCCAGGCGTGGTGATGCACGCCTGTAATCCCAGCTACTCAGGAGGCTGAGGCAGAGAATTGCTTGAACCCGAGAGGTGGAGGTTGCAGTGAGCCGAGATCATGCCATTGCACTACAGACTGGGTAACAGGGCAAGACCCTGTCTCAAAAAAAAGAAAAAAAGAAAAGAAAAGAAAAAAAAGAACTCTTCTAAGTATTTGACGTATGTTATCTAATTTAATCCTCATAAAAAAACACCATGAGTAATATTACTATTCCATTTTACAGACAGGGAAACAAAAATACAGGGAGGTTAAGTCTGAAGCTCAAGGTCAATTAGCTATTAAAAGCCAAGCTGTGATAGCAAATTCAAGTCTATTTGACCTCATAATTCATGCTCTTCCATTTCCATCAGTAAAATTGCACAAATTCAGGAAGAATGCCTTCCTTAGACGATTTCTCCAAGTTTTACAATAGAAACAGACTACTTTCTATGTCAAAATATTGTTGAACTGCTTTTCCATCAATTACATGGTTCCTTACCACCATCAGCTTGATGCTAAAAATTATTTTGTGAGGCTAACCAACATGTAGTCTTTATGAACTTTATTAAATAAGTCTAAAGGAATAAGAATTCCCATGAATATAGTGCACATCCCACATTTCTTCATCTTTGAATCACTAATTTCTATTTCTGTGGTTAGTTCTTCTTTGGAAATCGTACATTTTACTTGAACACAAAAATTTCCCATGGGTAGAATCCTATTTTCTTTTGTCTCCAGAATAGCTGATTAATGACAGCTGAACTTTTACCTGATAAGGAAGATTATTTACATTTTAAAATCACAGGACAGAGAGACCCTGGAACCTACAGACGCTATCCTAACTTCACATTGATAAAACTCAGTTTATGATGTCATTGCCCATAGGCCCTTCATCATACTGCTATATGTCACTCAAGCCGTTTGCTATTTATGTGGATAAAAAGGACATAGTATTTGATTTTCTCTTGTCCCAACTACTCAGGTAGAAAATGTTCAGGTATAATGTTACAGAGATTAATTTTCCTCAATGCACAATGTGTACAAGTAACATTTATGAGGATAATTTCTAAAATATCAGCTTTACATTCATTCCTGTGCTTTTTGTGAGGTCCTGGATTTTCAATAAATCAGAAAAGGTCTGGATTCCTACCTTCAAACCAATACTATTTGGTGATATTATTGTTAAAAGATATGTTTTCCTCCTATTCTTATAAAATATGACCATTCATGGCCACAAAGGGACTCAGCCAACTGTGTCTACCTTTTAGCATGTTTCTATGCATAGAAATGTGTTATGATGAAATAGCAAGGGCAAGGAGTCCATGTACAGCAAGATGGAAAAGCTGATGGGAAATATTACCATTTTGAAAAGTTGCCAAGCAACTGATCTCATCAAATTTAAGCCTTTGCCTTTGAAGCCTGAGCAATGAGACCCTATATAGTTAAAATGATTTAATGCCACCTTTTCCCTGTTTCTATTTCCATGTTAAAGCTTCTATGTAATAATGATAATAATGAAAACAAAGACCCAACATACTGGGCACTGAGGCAATTTACAATGTCTTACCATTAAATCTCACAAAACTCTACAAGGCAGATATTATCATATTCATTTAATAAGAAAACTGAGGCCCAGAGTAACATCCCCAAGGTCACACTGGAATAATTAGATGGCAGACAAAATTACCAACTATGGCTGATGCTACAGCCAATGCTAGTAACTACTAATCTAGATTGCTTCTGCTACTGGTATCCATGTTTCCATAAGTTATTCCTGTCTATCTTTTTAGGAAAGTAAACCTATTTTATACTCTCTGATTTAAAAAGGACATAACACATTGTTGCTCATTTTACATCTAAATTTAGCAGTCTTTTCCTAAGGCCTGTCAGGTTCATATCTATGTAAATGCATGCTCGTTATAGTGTTAGTAAATCCAAAACAACATACACAAGAACATATAAAATCAGACTTGGTTCTGCTTGCTGGAATCAAATTCTTGAATTTAGAACGAGGAATGTAATTTTTGGAAATTATTTACCTACAATTAAAAAATTATTTTCATCACATTTAGCTAGCATTACCACTGGTAAGGGTCAAAAAAATATCCATGAGTACTTAATCCTAGCTCTATCACTTACTAGTTGGGTAAGTTATTTAACCTTTCTGTTTTTTAGATTTCTCATCTGTAAAACAAATATTTTATTAGTACATACCTCATAGAGTTGTTGTGAGGATTAAATAGATTAATGCTTTTAAATGCTTAGAACTGTGTTTGGCATACCTGAACGCTCAACAGGTATTACAGTAAGTCCTCACTTAATGTTGTCTCTAGGTTCTTGGAAACTGGGACTTAAAGTGAAACCACAGATTACAAAACCATCTTCTTCCTCATTGTTATAACAAAATGATATTGAAGGAAATGGCATTGGGATCAGCTGTGCATCATTTTGCTTAAAGTCCCAGTTTCCAAGAACCTGTAGATGATGTTAAATGAGGGCTTATTGTATTTACTTATTTTCTAGAAATGCCATCTACTGTCAGTCCATACTGTATTTGTTTAATTGCTTAGGGTAAATACCTGTACTTCTTTTAACTCATTCTTAACAACTAGAGGGTCCATGGTATAACATAAGAATCTTCGTTAAATAACATACTTTAAAAGCTACTATTAAGATATTTTCAGGCCGGGCGTGGTGGCTCATGCCTGTAATCCCAGCACCTTGGGAGGCTGAGGTGGGCAGATCACGAGGTCAAGAGATCGAGACCATCCTGGCCAACACGGTGAAACCACGTCTCTACTAAAAATACAAAAATTAGCTGGGCGTGGTGGCGTGCATCTGTAGTCCCACCTACTTGGAAGGCTGAGGCAGGAGAATCGCTTGAACCCGGGAAGTGGAGGTTGCAGTGAGCCGAGATCGTGCCACTGCACTCCAGCCTGGGCAACAGAGCAAGACTCCATCTCAAAAAAAAAAAACAACCAGATATTTTCAAATATTTTTCTTTACATCTGTGTTTCTTTGTCACTGTGTTTAATAACAGAGTGTCCCTATTTTTCTATTAGATGTCTAAATTTAGAATATGAATGTACAAGGAAAATATAGCAACTACATACACATTCAACTGAAAGCACATATGAAGAACTGTGTCATATCGCTTTTGCTTCTCAAAATCCTACCCATATTCTTATAATCTTAACTCTAAAGTCTCTTTGAGTAAACAGATGATCTGGGAAGTTAATAGGAAAGAAGTGGTAGCTAAATTCACATACTTCAAGGTAAGGGTTTTTGTGACCAAGAACAGAAATTGAACACTCTAAGGATAAAAGACTTACATAGTGCATTTTAAGGTATCACACAAGTGCTAAGAGATTAAATTACCATTATTTCCAGAAAATGTCAAGTATGTAGTTTTTTGTACTTTAGTTTTTTTTTAAACAATATATTTAAGCAGGATTACATACTTTCGTTATCATTATTTTCAAATACAAGATAATATTGTCGCACTTGGGAGTCCAGGTAATGGGACTATTTTATAGGTTAAATAAAAAAGTTGTCATTGATTATTGCTTATGAAGGTTTGAAGTTATTTCTGTTGGGGTCGTTAGGGTCTGGGCTGAGATATTTAGACAAATCTTCAGATCTCAGACATAGGCTTGAGAAGGTACCAGGTATTTGGTGGGATGACTAGCATTTAAAAACCCTGGATGAAATCGCTATTCATCATTTAAAACCCAGCATAAATGTCATGTGTACTCATTTGACTTCCAAGGCAAACTATGAGACTTTATTTCCTAGGCTACTACAGCACTTGGTGCACACCTTCCAACTTACCTGAAGTGACTGTGATGCATCTATTTATTTGTTTCTTCCCTTTGGGTAATTAGGATTTATGGTTTTATTCATTTTTGTGTCCCAGTGGCTGGCTGACTTTATGTATACAAGTATTAGTTGAATGACTTAACAAATAAATTGTTGGGAAAATTAGGGCCACACAGTCCTGTGCCTGACATATAGGTTTTATTATTTAACATTTAATTTTAAAAAGGTAAATACATTAAACTGTTATTTACTTGAAACAATCTTCAGTTCTTGTACTGAGGAATCTCCAGTGAAGTATCTACAAGTATCTACATTAAGGTTATATTTGTTTCAGTTTCAAAAGTTAAAAAAAAAACTTTGGAGAATACAAGAGTGACTATAGACAAAGATATCATATGGAGATTACACTACTGTGCACACACACACAACCCAAACAAAGCACCCTACCCAATTGACACTATAGAATGCAAATGCAGAAAAATGTCTTTCCCTGTGAAAGCAAACCCACAAAATTCAAAGAAGTGACTGCTTCACCAGATGCACAGATATCAATGTAAGGTCATGAGAAACATGAAAAAGTAAGGAAATATGACACTTCCAAAGGAACACAACTCTAGCAATATACACCAAAGGAAAAAAAAACTGTATGAAATGCCTGAAAAGCAATTCAAAATAATGATCTTAAGGAAACTCAGAGAGATATAAGAAAATACAGACAATTCAACAAAATAAGGAACACAATTCATGATCTGAATGAGAAATTCAACAAAAATAGATATCATATAAAAGAACCAAACAAAAATCTTAAAACTGAAGAATTCAATGAATGAAATAAAAACATACAACTGAGAACTTCAACAATAGACTAGATCAAGCTTAAGAAGGAATTTCTGAATATAAAGACAGGTCTTTTGAAATAATCCAGTCAGAGATAAAAGAAAGAAAAAAGAATAAAAAAGAATAAAGAAACTCTACATGACAAATGGGACACCATAAAGTGACCAAACATTTGAATTTAAGTGTTCCAGAAGTAAATTAAATGGGCAAAGGCATAGAAAACCTATTTGTAATAGTTAATATTAAGTGTCAATTTGATTGGATTGAAGGATTCAAAGTGTTGTTTCAAGGTATGTCTGTTAGGATGTTGCCAAAGGAGATTAATATTTGAGTCAGTGAACTGGGAGAAGAAGACCCACCCTCAATGTGGGTGGCACCATCCAACTGGCTGTCAGCATGGCTAGAAACAGCAGGCAGAAGGAGGTGGAATAAGCTGGCTTGCTGAGTCTTTCGGCTTTCATCTTTCTCCCATGCTAGATGGTTCCTGCCCTTGAATCAGACTCCAGGTTCTTCAGCCTTTGGATTCTTGAACTTTTATCAGCGGTTTGCCAGTGGCTCTCAGGCCTTCGGCCACATACTGAAGTCCGCACTGTTGGCTTCTCCACTTTTGAGGCTTTGGGACCTGGACTGAGCCACTACTGGCTTCCTTACTCCTCAGCTTGCAGACAGCCTATTGTGGGAGTTCACCTGGTGATCGTGTGAGTCAATTCTGCTTCATAAACTCCCTTTCATATATACATATATCCTATTAGTTCTGTCCCTCTGGAGAACCCTGACTAATACACTATTTAACAAAATAAGAGCTAAAAACTTCCCAAGTTTTGCAAGCGATATACCATACAAACATACAGGAAGCTCAAAGAACCGCAAACAGATTCAAACCCAAAAAAGTCTTCTCCAAATCACATTATATTCAAATTGTCAAAAGTCAAAGACACAGAAAAAAATTTAAAAACAGTAAGAAAAAAGTGTCAGATCACATAAAAAGAACCTCCATCAGAATAACAGTGGATTTCTCAGCAGAAACTTTACAGACCAAGAAAGAATGGGATGATATACTCAAAGTGCTGAAAGAAAAAAATTGTTGGCTAATACTACTACAACGAGCAAAGCCATGATTCAGCAATGAAGGAGAAATAAAGTCTTTCCCAGACAAGAAAAGACTGAGGGAATTCATTACCACTAGACCAGGCCTAAAAGAAATACTTAAGGGAATCCTACATCTATAAGCAAAAAGACAGTAATTTCCATCATGGAAGCACACAAAAGAATAAAAGTCACTGGTAGAGTAGAAACACAAATGACAAAGATAAATGAATCAAACCTTATCACTACAGAAAACCACCAAACTGCAAAGATAAAACAAAAAGAGAAGAAAGCAACAAAGAATAAGCAAAACAATTGCCTAAATGAAGGAGTAATTCCTCACCTATCAGTAACAACCCTGAATGTAAATGGTTTAAATTCCCCAATCAAAAGATATAGACTGGCTGAGTGGATTAAAGAAAAAAAAAAAAAAAACAAGACCCAACTCTATACTGCATACAAGAAGCTCACTTCACCTGTAGACACATACCGACTGACAGTAAAAAGACAGAAAAAGATATTTCATGCAAACAAAAACCAAATCAAGCATCAGTAGGTATACTTAGATAAAATAAACTTTAAGTCAAAAACTGTAAAAAGAAGGTCATTATATAATGACAAAGGAATCAATTCAGCAAATGAATATAATAGTTGTAAATATATATGTACCCAACACAGGAGCACCCAGAAATATAAAGCAAACCTTACTAGAGCTAAAGGGAGAGATAGACCCCTATATAATAATAGCTATGGACTTAACACCCAACTCTCAGCATTAGATAGGTCATCTAGAGAGATAATCAACACAGAAATGTCAGACTTAAACTGCACTATAGACTAAATGGACCTAACAGACATTTACAGAACATTTCATTCAACAGCTGCAGAGTATACATTCTTCTCATCAGTACAAATAACATTCTCCAGGATAGACCATACGTTAGGCCACAAGTTTCAACAAATTTTAAAAATTGAAATTCTATCAAGTATCTTTTCAGATCATAATGAAATAAAACTAGAAATCAATAGTAAGAGAAACTTTAAAAACTGTACGATTATATGGAAGTTAAACAATATGCTTCTGAACAACGAATGGGTCAATGAAGAAATTAAAAAGGAAATTAAAAAATTTAAGCAAATTAAAACAGAAATACAATATACAAAAACCTATGGGATACAGCAAAAGCAATACTAAGAAAGAAGTTTATAGCAAGAAATGCCTACATCAAAAAAGCAGAAAGATTTCAAATAAACACTCCAACATTGCACTTCAAAAAATTAGGAAAAAAAGAAATCAGAAAAGCAAAAATAAATCAAACTCAAAATTAGTGGAAGAAAAGAAATAATAAAGATCAGAGCAGAACTAAATGAAAGAGACAAAAAAAAAAAAAACCTACAGAAGACCAACAAAACGAAAAGTTGATTTTTTGAAGGGTAAACAAAATAAATTATTAGCCAGACTAAGAACAGAGATTACCCAAATAAAGTCAGACATAAAAAGGAAACTTTGCCACTGATACCACAATAATACAAAGGAATATAAGAGACTATTCTGAACAACTACAAGCCAACAAATTAGAAAACCTAGAGAAAATGATAAATTCCTGGACTCATATAATGTATCAAGATTGAATCAAGGAGAAATAAAAAAACTGAACAGATCACTATCTAGTAATGAGATTGAATCAGTAATAAAAATGATCCCAACACAGAAAAGCCCAGGACCAGATGACTTCATTGCTGGCTTCATTGCTGAATTCTACCAAACTTTTAAAGAATAACTTATACCAAGTATTCTCAAACTATCCGAAAAAATAGTAGAGGAGGAAATTCTTCCAAACTCATTCTATGAGGCCAGCAGTAGCCTACTACTAAAATCCAACAAGAAGAAAACTAAAAAAGAAAACTACAGACCAATATCCCTCATGAATATGGATGCAAAAATCCTCAACAAAACACTAGAAAATAAAATCTAACAATACATAAAAAAGATTGTATACCATTATCAAATGAGATTTAACCCAGAGATGCAAGGATGGTTCAACATATGCAAATCAATAAATGTGATACCTCAACAGAATAAAGGACAAAAACCATATAAACATTTCAATAGATACACAAAAAAGCCACTTAATAACATTCAACATCCCTTCATGATAAAAACTCTCAACAAATTAGAAAGCAATGCACCTCAACACAATAAAGGCCAGATATGACAATCCCACAGCTAACATTATATTGAATGGAGAAAAGTGGAAAGCTTTTTCTCTAAAAACTGGAACAAGACAAGGATGAGCACTTTCACAACTCCTATTTAACATAGTACTGGAAATGCTAACCAGAGAAATTAGATAAGATAAAGAAATAAAGGGCATTCAAATTGGAAAAGAGAAAGTCAAATTGTTCCTGTTTGCAGACAATATGTTCTTATATATAGAAAAACCTAAAGACTCCACAATAAAACTCTTAGAACTGATTAAGAACTTCAATAAAGTTGCAGTATACAAAATCAACATACAAAAATCAGTAGTGTTTCTATATGCCAATAACAAACTATCTGAAAAAAAATCAAGAATGCAATCCCCTTTATAATAGCTACAAAAAATACTTAGAAATAAAGTTAACCAAGGAAGTGAAAGATCTCTACAATGAAAACTACAAAACACTGATGAAAGAAACTGAAGAGAACACAAAAAATGGAAAGACATCACATTTTCATGGATTAGAAGAATTAACATTGTCAAAATGACTATACTACCCAAAGCAATCTACAGATTCAATGGAATCCCTGTCAAAATACCAATGACATGCTTTACAGAAATAGAAAAAAAATCCAAAATTTGTATGGAACCATAAAATACCCCAAATAGCCAAAGCATTTGTGAACAAAAAGAACAAAGCTGAAGGCATCACACTGACTGACTTCAAATTACACTACAAAGCTGTAATAACCAAATCAGCATTGCACTGGTATAAAAACAGACACACAGCCCAATCAAACAGAATGGAGTATTCAGAAATAAGTCCGTATTTACAGCCGGGTGATTTTTGACAAAGGCAACAAGAACATACATTGGGCAAAGGATAGCCTCTTCAATAAATAGGGCTGGGAAAACTGGATATCCATATTCAGAAAAATGAAACTAGAACCCTATCTCTCACCATGTACACAATCAACTCAAAATGGATTAAACGCTTAAATATAAGACCCCAAATTATAAAACTACTAGAAGAATACACAGGGGAAATACTTCAGGACATTGGTCTAGGCAAATATTTTTATGGCTAAGGTTTACATGCAACAAAAGAAAAAAAACAGACAAACGGGATTATATCAAACTAAAAGTCTTATGTAGAGCAAAGGAAACAATTCATCTGACAGGGAACTAATATCCAGAATATGCAAGGAACTCAAACAACTCAACAGCAATAAAAGAAATATTTTTATTTAAAAATGGGCAAATGATCTGAATAGACATTGCGTGAAAGCAGACACACAAATGACCAACTGCTATATAAAAATGCTTAACGTCGTTTATCATTAGGGAAATGCAAATTAAAACCACAAAGAGATATCATCTCACCCCAATTAGAATGGTTATTAACAAAAAGACAAAAAATAAGAAATGCTGGCAATGATTCAGAGAAAAGGGAGCTCTTATACAATATTGATGAGAATGTAAATTGGTACCGTCATTATAGTAATTAGTATGGAGAGTCTTTAAAAAACTAAAAACAGGACTACCATACGATTCAGCATTCACATTACTGGGTATAGGTCCAAAGGAAAGGAAATCAGTATGTCAAAGAGATATCTGTACTCCCATGTGTATTGCAGCATTATTCACAATAGCTAAGATATTAAAATTAACCTATGTGTTTATCAACAGATTAATGGATAAAGAAAATGTGATATATATATATATCAGAATATTACTCAGCTCTAAAAAAGAATGAAATCTTATCATTTGCTGCAACATGAATGAACCTGGAAGACATTATGTTAAGTAAAATACATCAGGCCCAGAAAGATAAATACTGCATGTTTGCATTCACGAGTGGGAACTAAAAACTTTGAGCTCATAGAGAGTAGAACTGTGGTTACTGGAGGCTGAGAATGGGAGGGGTGAGTGGGAGAGGGATTTTGAAGAGATTGGTTAATGGATATAAATTACAGCTACATGAGAGAAGTTAAGTTCTGGTATTCTACGGTGCTATAGGATGGCTATAGGTAACAATAATTTATTATATAATTTCTAACAGCTGGAAGAGAAGATTTCGAATGTTCCCAGAACAAAGAAGTGATAAATGTTTAAGGTGAAGAATATGCTAATTACCCTGATTTGATCATTACCCATTCTATATATGTATCAAAATATCACTCTGTATCCCATAAATATGTACAATTATTATGTGTCAATTTTAGAAAGTTAAAAGCCATACTGAATGAAACAAATAACTCTGCTTACTTCTCTCTTTTAAGTATGTACATATTTCTTTTCTCCTAAGTTGGTTACAAAAAGATGTCAAGTATTTATAGGCTATCTAAATTTTCTAATATTTAAAAAGTATTCTATTCTAGTCGGGGGAGATTTGTGGCACATGATGGCATTAGGGGCTTTAAAATGTAGTCCGAAGGGACTACCAATTTATAGCCATTCGAGTAAGAACTTAGTAAACATTTTTTAAAATAAAGTCATCAGTAATCAATCACTTTCATTTGGTGACTATAATTTCTCTTAAATTAAACATTAATTATCTACTTCAACACAAGTAGAAAATAGCCAGATAATACTGGGACACAAAGAAAGAAGAGTTGACATACATTACTGCCTATTTGGTAATAGGCAGTCAATTAGTACTTGTGGAATGAATGAATAAGAAAAAAAATTTCATATTATTTCATGGGGCAAGGGTAGGGATAGCAAAGATTACAGGCCTCTATACTCTATATTGTAGGTTTACAATATAGTAGAGGAGAAAAGTAAAGGTTCAAATATCTTCAATACTTAACAGTTTAATTGCCACTAGAGTAGTGTAGTTGAGGAGTTTATGTTAAAATATATTATTTATTCTTATGATTAAAAAGCACATGTACAGAGAATAACACAAGGTAAGATAAGTATGGTTCCTATTCTTTAGCATCATTTTGGGGAAAATTTTTCTTTCATACTTATTACCAAAGAGCTGAAAGGAAATAAGACATGTATATGAAGATATGTGATGACTGCTCTTTTGAGACCAAAGGAGGGAGGCATATGGCCATGACAGACAAGTGAGGTGTAGGAATAGAATGGAGGAGCTAAAAACAACTTTGCTTCTGCTCAGCTCCCATTGATCAAGTTTGAACTAATTAGCAGGGATGCTGTCCTTCCTCAAAGTATAAGCTCCTCGCTAAAAATTATTAATTTGAAAAGTGGAAAGGGAGGAGCAGAGACTTTCAATTAAATCCATTTATTCTTGCAGAAGAACCACAAGCTTGACTACTTTAAGCAACTTTATCTGCAAATCTTTCAGATATACTATAACAATTTTAAGTATTTGTGACTGGGTTACTTTTTCGGTCATGAATCAAAGATTAAAACAATCCTGTGCCCATCATAACTCTAAGCCCATTTTTGCCTTAAATACAGTATGTTCAATCCATTCTATTTAAAATCCACTTCCACTCTAATGTCAAATAAATTTCACAGCTTCTTTAAAAAATACAAAAACTGAGGTGAGAATTTCTCGAGAAAATTATATTTCTTAAAATCCCTGAGGAATATGGAGATAATTTTATTTTAAATAAGTCATGTTAACAGTAAGTATTCATTTAAAAAAACAAAAAAGAATAAAAAAACACTTGAATTTTTCCAAACTGGCAACATCTAACACACAAGAAATACATGTGATGCTAAAAAGATTTTTATAAATCATTATGAGCTACAATGTTACCTACTGTTCTTTCTTATCTTTTGAAAATCTAGAATAATTTTTAATATAATGTCTCATATTGTAGAAATTCCACTTAGAAGCACATGAGAGAGACAGATCAATTATAAAGATTCAAAAGCGCCTAAGTAACTCTCACAACCCAAAAACTTATTAAAGGAAATTGAGATTCCTATGCCAGAAATATAGTCTTATATAAACATAAAAGAAGAACTCTTACCATAAGTTGGGGTGCTTTCTCGTCTTCCTTGACTACTTGATCTTCCTTTTTCATATTCATAGCAATATAAGACAGTATCTTCTTCGACAATATTAAATCTCTTTCGATATTCCTGATCCAGAAATGAATTTGGTGATTCAGATCCCTTATGCACTGGCTTGCCCACCATATGTCCTCTGAGGTCTTCACAAGGAAGGTTTCCTTTTTCATCCCTAAAGAAAGGTTAGAGTAAAGGAGAAGATGTAGAAACATGTTAGGGTAGTAAATGGCCGAGGGTCTAAAATACTAATAATTTACTCCCATACAATATATCTCCTGACCTTTTCAAACTTTCTTTGAGATTTACAGGGCAATTTGTAATTATTCTTATTTTGCTGAAAACAAAATGGTGAGTCTCAGAAAGGCTAAACAACTTGCCTCAATGTTACACAGCTAATAACTGACAGAATTTGAAATAGGCCATGAAACTTTTAACTGTTGCCCAAGTCCATTTTTCACTGTACCATGTCATACATAAATTGCTTTTAGTGTTCAAGAGAGTAGGTATAATGTTAGTAATGTTAACTTAAGTATATAGCTTTCTTCTGCCAGTTTACCTTTGCACATAAATTGCTTTTAGTGTTTAAGACAGTAGGTATAA